>NC_000007.14:88567385-88870415 GCF_000001405.40 Homo sapiens | reverse complement strand
CACCCACCTTTTTTTTTTTTTTTTTTTTTTTGAGACGGAGTTTCGCTCTGTCGCCCAGGCTGGAGTGCAGTGGCGCGATCTCGACTCACTGCAAGCTCCGCCTCCCGGGTTCACGCCATTCTCCTGCCTCAGCCTCCCGTGTAGCTGGGACTACAGGCGCGCGCCACCATGCCCGGCTAATTTTTGTATTTTTAGTAGAGACGGGGTTTCACCGTGTTAGCCAGGATGGTCTCGATCTCCTGACCTCGTGATCCGCCCGTCTCGGCCTCCCAAAGTGCTGGGATTACAGGCGTGAGCCACCGCGCCCGGCCCAATCACCCACCTTTCTAATGGTGACAGTTGGCAGCATCCCTGGAGGGCCTGGTCTGTGGTAGAATTACAGAGGCCATCCCAGAGCCTGTCCTTCAGTACTTCCAACTATTTTATAATTGTATATTTCCCTATATTTAAGCCATTTCTTCTTAAAATTGCTAGGCTGGTTTTACTAATTTATCTGCAGCTGACCTCTGGCTGATACATCTTCCAAATGCAAGGGAAACCTAGGTAAGAAGCCTTGGCTGGACCTGCACTTGCTTGTCCTCCTTGGGAAGGCATTAGGAGATTTTCCCTTCCCCACTACACTGCTTCATTCTGAAGTCAGTAATACTTGCAAGTCTACCTTTGGATTAAACATGCAACTCCAGGGGTTCCTTATCTTTGAGACATACCCCCACACATATTCTCATACTCAAAAGTATATTTAAAGGAGGCTGAAACCTAACATTGCCACCATTAAAACTCAGAAATTGAACTTAAAGTACAAATTTTGATATATATTTGGTTAAAAGATATTTGTTTTAGCTTATGATTAGGTAATAAAATAATAAATATTGCTGTTAATTCCCCTATCTGATGGAGTGAGAGGGGATATTTTAAAAAGATTTTCTAACACCTGAAGGAAGAGAAAGTAAGCAGGGGTGGGAAATGTTGAAAAGTGTCATAAAGATCAAAGGAGGGCTGACTAACTTCTTAATTTTGCCCAGAGAAAACACCCTTTATTTTAAAAGTAATAGGTTATTGCTGAGAGCTGAAGCACTGATAGATGGGCCCCAAGGTAGGTATACCTGGTGGGTAATACAAAGGACTGGAAGAAAGATGACAGGGAACCAAAAATAAATGCCATGTTTTATAGTTGTGACCAATACTAGCCCTATTCTCAAAAGAATTATGCTGAAAAGTTTTTTAAAATATTTGTAAGCCTTATATTAAAGAATTACTGTATTACTAAGATATCATGTAAGATGAAAGCATGTGATTTATAAAAATATCTTGCCTCTGTAGTGTGTGATGGGTTTAAACTTTTTAAAAAAACAGACTAAATATGTGAATTTAAGAAAGATTCTTCAATAGGTGATTCTTCTCACTCCACTAAAAATAAAATAAATATGTGGATATAAGAAAGCATCTTCAATAGGTGATTCTTCTCACTCCACTAAAAATAAAATAAACAGGCTGCACTTGTGATATACCTAGACTTGAATCATTAAAATGCGATTCCTGTCTCTTTTCTCCCAGGAGGAACTGACACCTAAGAAAGCTTTTTGAGTCTTTTTCAAACTAGCATTTCAAAGCTACTTTGCTGGCTGAAACCTGGGTTTGACTTAGCAGATTCAACTACTGAGTTCAAAGATAGCTGTAAATTTGACCCAATATGTTTTCCTGTCTTTAGAAATGTTGTAAAGCATCTGAGATTAATGGGAAACATGAATAAAAAGGTCTTGGGTCCTGAAAACATCAATAAAGGCAGCAAGCCAATTGAAGCTGGCAGTGGTTGCCCACAGTGTGAGTTAAATAAATTGCCAAGAACATTAAGCTGATGGGTGGAATAGGGTTTGTTATGTGTGTATGGGAGTATGTGCCTGAATGTTTAAAATCACTTCTACAACCCCGCTTGTGATTTCAAAAGAGGTAAAAATTATTTTCTCCTATTTGGAGAACTAAGGAATAACAGTTGAGGTAGAAGTAATGAGAAAATAATAGATTACATATTATACTCAAATACCTTTATTCTGTCCTAACATCAGGTTCTTGTTCTTTAATAATGGATATACATAGCCCAGTTGGTTCATGAGCTGTTCAATGAGCAGCAAGGAGGACTGGAGAAGGTAATTCCAGTTACAACATCCAAATAAGGGATAGAAGGAAGGGGAAAGTAGGTACAGTCAGGCTATCAGTAAAGGGAAGTCATTTACCAAAGCTATGTACTACCTTCGACATTGAAATATAGAGGACCTTGGTATTCCAAAACATCTTGTCATGGCAGCATTTGTTGCTTAAAGAAAAGCATAATACACACACACACACACACACACACACACACACACACACTCACACACACACACAGTAGAATTATGAATATTGCACATTTATATACATATATATAATAGGTGATTATGCTAACAGACATTATATATTAGTATAACCAGCAGTTAACAATTGAGGGGTCTAGTATCAGACAATCTGCTTTCAGCCAGACTCTACCACTTGTCATGTGGCTTGGTACAAGTTACTCAATTTCTCTATATTTCAGTTTAATTAACTGTGAAGTAGCTATAATTATAGCAACTGTCTCATATGGTTATTCTGAGTATTAAATGAGATACTATTTTCTAGACATATATAAGAACTCAATAAAATGTGCTTTTTTATTGTTATTGTTATTACTAACATTATTTTCAACATATTGTTAGAAAGTTGCATGATTGCAAGTAAGCAAGGTGTCAACTTGACTGGATTAGGGGATACCAAGAAAACTGGTACAACATGATTTCTAGATGTGTCTTTGAGAGTATTTCCCTAGGAGATTGGCATGTGAGTCTGTACACTTAGTGAGGAAAATCCCCCCTTAATGTGGGTGTGCACCATTCAATTAGTGAAGCATGCAGATGAACAAAGACGCAGAGAAAAGGCAAATTTGTTTACTCTTTCTTGGATCTGGGACACCCTTTTTCTCCTGCCCCTGGATATTAAAACTCCAGGTTCTCTGGTCTTTGGACTCTGTGGCTTTCATCCACAAATGGAGTTACACCACAGGCTTCCCTGTTTCTAAGGCTTTCAGCCTTGGACAGTAAGGCAACTGGCTTCCCTGGTTCTCCAGCTTGCAGACAGCCTATTGTCTATCATGAGACTTCTCAGTCTCCATAATACTGTAAGCCAATTTCCCTAAAAAAATCGCCTCTCTCATATATATATATCTCCTATTGGTCTGTCTCTCTGGAGAACCCTAATACAGCAAGTTTACTCCTAATGATGTCAAGGGTTTTCCTTTACTTAGAGTCTTCCCCACCAGCTATTATTTTTCTCATGTTTCTTATGTACTCATCATTCCACTAATAAGAGTCTACTGTGTGCATATGGCCACAAAGCAATGCACACAATTCTGTTGTGCCCATCTTATAATGCATTCTATAATGTTCTACTTTCACAGAAACACTTGGTGGACTCTTGTAAACTGAATGATCAGGCTTGACTGTAATCAATTCTAGGGTCATTATCAGAAGCCAACCATTTTGGTACTAAGTCATAAAGTTAAGACTCATTTTTAAAGGAAATGCCAAGCTAAATATGGGTATTTCCATTATCTATCAATATTCAACAAATCACCCTAAACCTTGTAGATTAGAACAATGATCTATTATTTTTTCATGGTTCTGTAGGTTAGATGAGCTGAGCTGAGAGGTTGTTCTGTTCCAGGTGGCACTGGCTGGGATTACTCATTTGGGTGCATTTTACTTGGCTGCAGACCTGGGCGGAAAAGTTCAAAAAGCTTCATGTCAGGTCACAAGTCAGGGTTTTTGTTTGTTTGTTTTGTTTTGTTTTGTTTGTTTTTTAATGTGACCTCTTTCTCTTCACACGACTAGATTAGTCATTCTCACAATACCACATGGTGATATTGGGAAGATACACTACTCATATTGCAGCTGAATGCCTCAAAAGAGAAAGTGGAAGCTTTTCACCTCCTTTCAGGTATTTCTTTCACATTCTGTTAACCAAGACAAGTTATAAACCCAGCCTGAATTCTGAAATTAAGGGGAAGGGAATAAACACAACCTCTTGATGGAAAAGAAACAAAGTCACAAAGGAAAGGAAATAATTGATCATGGCCATCTTGAAGACTCTATCACAGATAATCATCACTTTAACATATTTTCATAATATAATTTTAAATCACAATTAAATCAAGAGTTTATTAATTATAAGGTGAAATTTTATGTATTATTTTCTGGCCTTTTTTTCCAGGTTAAAATTAAATAAGATCTTCTGGTCAGTCGCCTATTCTATTAGTCTTAACTAGTATAGTTTTGCTTAGCTAACATGTATTTACTACTTACTGTGGACAAGACATTGAACCAAAAATCAATACACAAAGATGAATCTAAAAGTGAGAGAATTCGGTCTCACAATATTTTTGGAAGGATGTATAAAACATACCATATTAAACCAATGTGATAAGTATTATGATTCAGGGAAGGGCAGGATGCCATTTTAAGTAAGGAGGGGCGTGACATTCAGACTAAGCTGGGAAAAGGGTCAGCAAGTGGCATAGATGACATTTGGTCCGAGTTACAAAGACATAAAAAAGTAGAAAAGATCACTCTAGGCGCAGATGACAGCAAGACCAAAGAGATGGGAGCCATATAAGAGCACAGCAGATGTAAAACCCTAAAGGGGGCTGGCCCTCCATGGTGTGTCAAGGGTGAGGCATAGACACATGGAACAAAAGTTTTGGTAGAAAGGAGAGAGGGAACTAAGAGGAAATTAAAAGGGAATTTGGGGTCACAGAAGTTTGTTTCTTGTTTTCATTTTATATATGCATTTATGTATGTATTTATTTAATATTTTGAAGAAACAGGGTCTTGCTCTGTCACCCAGGATGGAGTACAGTGGTGCAATCATAGCTCACTACAGCTTTGACCTCTTGGGCTCAAGCATTTCTCCCACCTCAGCCTCAGGAGTAGCTGGGACCACAGGTGCATACCACCATGCCCAGCTAATTTTTTTACTTTCTGTAGAGACAAGGTTTCCCTATGTTGCCCAGGCTGATCTAGAACTCCTAGGCCCAAGTGATCCTCCTGCCTCAGCCTCCCAAAGTGCTGAGATAATGGGTGTAAGCCACCGTAACTGGTCTATTTTTTTTTTTTTTTTTTTGATACGAAGTCTTGCTCTTGTTGCTCAGGCTGGAGTGCAATGGTGCCATCTCGACTCACCACAACCTTCGCCTCCTGGGTTCAAGTGATTCTTCTGCCTCAGCCTCCCAAGTAGCTGGGATTACAGGCATGGGTCACCACGCCTGTCTAATTTTGTATTTTTAGTAGAGACGGGGTTTCTCTATGTTAGTCTGGGTGGCCTTGAACTCCTGACCTCAGGTGATCCACCTGCCTTGGCCTCCCAAAGTGCTGGGATTACAGGCATGAGCCACTGTGTCCGGCCAAGTTAAATATTTTTATGGGTGGAGAAGAAAGAGCTTAGAAGAAAATCAAGTTTGCAGATTTTATTAGTCACTTCTTATGCACTTTCTCAGAGCAGCTCAAATTTGCCTGCAATCTCATGTCCTTGGCCATTTGTTCCACCATAGCTGCCACTGCCACAACTGACCCTGTGGGCCCCTGTTGACCAACTGCCTGAGACCAACACTGAATCTCCAGTTCTTCCCATTGCTTTCGGTCCCAGATGAAGTACAGGCAAGAGATCTTACTTCTCCATAGGGTACCCGTGGGGCCAGTTGACCCAGGGGAGTTAACATCAATACATTGATAAATAATAGAAAACTAGAGGCAAGAGGAAGTCAGCAGATAAATTCCCTCTCTATCATGCCTCTGGTGAATACTCCTCTAGGGGTGGATTTTCCAAACAGCCTATCTGGAGACATCTCATATGGCCAAGCAACTAGTTGAGAGCCAGTTGTGTAACATCATCTCATTCTCATCCTGCCTGGCATCACTTCCATTTGCCTGGCCCTGAGATTGTACATCTCAATAACCACATTACCATTTAAGGTACCTAACCTCAGGTTCTGTTTTCCAAGAAACCTTGACCAAGACAAAAATAGAAGCCATAGCAGAGATAAGGCAGTATATATTCGTTGTCTCATTCATTGCAACAAAATTTGATTGCATGCTTAAGAGCTTATTACACTAGGCATTTGAAACATGTAACTGAATCAGAAATAGTCCCTACTCTCAAGACATTGTTAGAAGTGAGAGGTATAAAAACAAACAAATACGAGAAAATGTTCCACATGTTAAGAAAAAATATATGAAGGCAGTAGCATTGAATTACAAAAAGAAAGCAGTCATTTCTACCCAGGATGAATGCAGGTGTGTGTTTCTGTGGTGGGGATGGGCAGAGAGCAGGAGAGAAGACATCAAATTCTTCCCAAAAGAATTAACTGCTGAGCAGAGTTTTAAAGTGTGATTTTGTACAATAAACTTCAGACATAAAGGAGACAGAGCCCCACCCTACAGACACTTGCAGTCTAGTGGAGGAGACAGGCACGTGACGGCCAATTTTAATTAAATCTGCCACACTGGTCTTCTTCTTCCAACTGCCATGCTTGTTTCTGCCTCCAGACAGACATTTTCACTGGCCTTTCCCTTTCCTTGAAAGTTCTGCCACCTGGCCCTCCTGTGATTGGCATTCTCTTAGCAATAAAATCACAGTCCAAATGTCACTTCCTTAGAAAGCCTTACTTGATATCCACTCTAAATAACCCACTTGTCCCTCTCTGCTTTGTGCTTTTTACCAAATCACCTTGTTTTATTTCATCTACAGAAACTATGTGTGAAATTCAGTTTTTAAAGTATTATTCATTTCATTTTTTTCAACCATTAAACTATAAACTTCGTTAAAAAAAATAGGGCTTCTTTGTCTTTTGTAACTCCAGTTACATGTAACATGGACATGGACATAAGACCATGTAACTCCAGTGTCTGGAACATAGTAAATGTTCAATAAATACCTGTTCAATGAGTGAATATAATTATATTAAAATGGCAAAAACAGATTGATATTCAAGCTATGAATGGGCATGGCACACCAACAAAGACAACCAGCTTTTTCTGGAGGACAAGAAAAATGTTTGTAGAGGAAGGGTCATTTGGACTGACATCAGGATAAATAAGTATTAAGGAAGCCGAGGTAGGGTTCGGGGGCAGGGGTATCAGAGCATTGTAGGGAGAGAGAACAGCATGTGAAAAGCTATGAGACAAGATGCCATAGGATGTATTCCAGGATTTGAAAACAGGCAAGTGTTGCTGTAGCATAGTGAGCACGGAGACAGTAGTACAAGATGAAGCTAGAAGGAGAGGCGTGGATTAGACCACTGCAGGGCCTTGTAGACATGTTATAGGCTTTTATCATCATGGCCACTAATAGATATTATGAGGGGAAGTGACATGATTAGGCTTATCATTCAAAAATTTTACTTTAACTGCAGTGAGATGTGGGATGACGAATAGAGAGCACTGCATTGATACAGGTGTGAAATGGTTTCTCAGCGTGAGACAGGAGTGGAAGCAAAGTGAAAAGCAGAGTGCAGGATAGTGAATAGTATAATTAGTGTGAAGCAGGAAAAGCTAAAAAAAAATGACAGCGTAAACATCGATGAATCAAAACAACAAAACCTGGGTTCATAGTTGGCACCTACAAACTACAAGAGGGTGGGTTAGCCCAGTATGCAACAATAACATTTTCTGACTGGGAAATTACTCTCTTGTCTTAGTCAATACCATGCAAAAATTACATAGTGATCACGTATTTCATAAAAATACAAGTAATGTTACAAGTAATCTACAAAGGGGTGACTTTAGGACCCGTGGAATAAATTTTCAACTAGAACATTCTATTACTTTCAATTTTGTTGTATCTATAGTATTAGCTACAGCTCATAACATTGTTTTCCATGTTGCTTGGGTTTAATTTTCCATTCTGTCTTCCTGTATACCTCCATCATTATTCCTAGGCTGGTCATGTACCTTGACATAAATACTCAGATGCTCTATAATCAATGTAATTATTGCACGATTGGCTAAATGGCGAGCTCCTTAAGGGTAGGGGCTATAGGATTTCATCTTTGCATTCCCAGTGTCAGACATGGTGCCTTGAAAGTATGAGGGTTTTTTCCCCCAAATTTATGAAGATCCAAGGGACTGAGTAGGCCTGAAGTAGTTTTAGATGTTCAAAGAAAGTTTAAAATATGGGCTGCATAATTTTATACTACATGTCCTTTAGTCTACTTATTTGAAAGCACATAATTCAACCCAAAAGTTCTATTAAACTGAGTACGTTATTTAGTAAAACATCTCATTTCTTAGCCATGCCAGATGGTAGTTTACTATAGAAGTGATGTTGCTAGTGAGGTTGGCAGATGGGAGATGTTGAAGTGATTGTCAGTTGTCCTTAGCATTGGGTCCCCCCAGCCCCAACACAGCATTCACTTCTCTTGCTTCTCCTCCATCCCACATGGCTGCATCTCCTTCTTGTTCCCATAATTCTAATCTTATGCTACTGAAAAATATGCAAGGGTTATTATGATAGCTGCTGGAACACTCAGCATTTCTCCCTTCTCCAAAATAGTTAAAGTATGTGCTACATATCTCAGATTCCTGTAAGAATAAGATATCTTATTCTTTAAGATACTTATTTTGAAAGTACACTGAAACTGTAAATTGTACACTGAAACTGTAAAGAGTAAGTGCAGACCTACGATAGAAGATATGTTATTACAGTGACACTGTACTGGAGACACTGGGTATCAAAGGTTTTAGGAACCACAGTAGAAAATGTGACAGATATCGCTGAGAGATCAATAAAATCCATACAAAAATATGTAGTAGTTTCCCATTTCTGCTGAGGATAAAGTATGAAATCTTAAGCACCCTATATTAAATGCCTTATTTTATCAGTTAGATATTAACTGGTATTTGTACTATTCCAGTTCCAGCCACTGGATCCTTCCAGAACATGTCTTAAGGTCTTTCCTCAGCAGCTCTGCTGGCAAGGTTGTTTCCTTCCTGTGTGTTGCTGGCTAGTTTCAGAAGCCTCCTGGCTTCATCTTTTTCTTTAATTCCATGGAAATGTTAAGGGAGTTGGTGAAAACATTTAATAATGCCTAATACATGACTAGTGCTTAAAATGGTAGCCATTAATGTTATAAGCCCATTTAAAAAATTACAATACTTCTCATTTAGTAGACTGGGATCCTCATAACGACAAGGACCGTGTCTCATTCATCTTTATGTTCTCTAGCACTTAAAAATATATCTGGAACACTCTAGTAGATTAATATATATCTATTGAAGGAAAAGAAACTGTAGATGAGGTAAAGACTAACAGTTTAAACCAAGGCAGTCAGCATCCTGGGCAGAAATTTAGCATAATTGACTAGTGTGATTCTGTAATAGACTTTGCCCAACTTTATTTCTTCCAGGAATAATAACTTACTTTGCCCAGGGAATAAAAAGCATAAAACTGTACCATTCAAAGCAACACTACTTAATCAATATTCTGGTGCTATTTTATTAAATGGCATTTGACGATGCCAAATACAGACCAAAATTTTTTCTGGAGGTACACTGCTTTAAACAAATTAATTATTCATATTCCTTTATATCTCACATTGGTTAATGTAGTGCCTAACTTTTTTCTTGTATTCGTGTCTATTTGTATGTATCAAGTTCCTTCTTTTCTTCCTCTGCCTCATTTTCCTTTTGTTAGCACAATTCTTTACCAAAACAATCCAATTATCTCAGACACAGGACTGTAAATATGAAACTCAGATTCTCATAATACAATAATCCTGCTGATAAAGAATTCACATGAACCTTGGGTAAGTTGCTTTGATCCAATTAAAGAGATTATTTATTTGTGAATATGAAGACTAAAAAACTTACTGAAGCCAGAAATTTCCAAGCATAATTTTGCTACCCACCAGGGCATACATAAAAATATGCAAATAAATCCCATTTTAATTCACTTATTGTATCAAAAATAAATATGTCACCTGTAACAATTTAAAGGAAGGATAAAATATACTCCAATGTCAAGCAAACAACTGAAAAATTAAAATATTAAATCTGCTAAATGATACACATACAAACTGCAAACACAAGTCTTTACCCATTTTTTATTTCTTCAAAGAAAAAGGTTTTGAATATACTATTGCCCTCTACAATATTTTATATTGTAATACTCTGAGCAAGAGCATTTTCTTTTTCTATCAGCTCAAATCTGGTATGTTTTGATTTTCCAAATATAACAAAGCAGAGTTCTTAATTATATCTGAAGTCAGTGTAACCAGATTTTAAAAGAAAACAGACGCAAGAGAACATTATATTTTTGAAAGTTTAGGTATAAAACATCAAATATTAACCTTACTTTTTCTATAATTTAAAAATATTTATAAAATATTGATTTTTCTCAATAGAGAAATTTACACAGCTCCATAACTTTATTCTTTTTGAAGTACATAAGGAAATTTATATTTTTTAAATGAAGGTAATAAATTTCAGGAATTATCCTTTTGACTAAAAGCACATTTTTAAGTTGTTTCTGAATACTCAGATATCTATTATATAATATTAGCTTAAACAATAGATATTAGTTTATATCTAAATAACACTATATTTCCATATGCATGCACATGGACATAGAGTCAAATGTTTCCTTGAGGAAACATTTAGCTGCACATAATTGCTATGGAAAGCATTTCTGTCCTAATGGGCCTGATTATTTATAAATTATCTTATTAATTGTTAGATTTAAGTTGTCAGATCAAAACTAGAAAACATTATGTCTGTAAATTATGGTGCTAAGTTGTTATTCAAACTAATGAAAGAGAGAATTAAAGAGAATAGTATATTCTTATTCCCCAAATAAAATTTTGCTGAATCATGATTCACATAACTCACATAAATCATGACCCACATAAAAGTAGATTGAATTATTATTTTTAAATGTCTTATAAAATTACCATTTAGAGAAAAGCTTGTGCCCTTTTATTAAACTGGCTTATATCAGTTTTTGTAAAACAGATGAAAAAATGGCCTAATCCAATTTTTCTGCTAAACTCATTAGTTGTATCTGATGAGTTGTCATTAAGTCATAAGTTTTTAGATAAATATAGACAAAACACTACACCTAAATATTACCCATACAGAAACAGCACACACACACAAACACACACATGCACGCACACCCATAGCTCCTAAAGTAAGCAAAAATTCCTCATTCTTATTCATTTGATTGGTGAAGAGCGTTGCCTGAAAATAAACCCAATAAAACCTATATGCTCATTAGACAGAGGTCCAATGATAAGTAAAATATATACTTAAATATCAATATTAATATTTAATGCGTTCATAATGGTGTTCATTTATATATCCATTCCTAAACATTCAGGGAATGTTCATAAGCCTCCTCATTAATAATCTTCCATCTCAAGCTGTTTTATTTCCTAAAATTACTGTTGAAAATATGCCTACCTTATAGCTATAGAACCAGAAAAACAAAAAGTCAGAAAATATTGGCATCAAGTTCACAGTTGTTGCCGCTGTGTTTTCTCAAATACATAATGCTAACAGTTATTTTCAAAATCATTATTCTGGAAAATAACTATGTTTATCCACGCTAAAATGTCTCCAAAAGTCTTTCAAATGATATTATTATTATCTCAATATTACTATAAATATAATTCATTATGGCCTTTCTGTTAACGAGATTTTTTAATCATGTCTGTACTTGGCCTCAAAGTACCCCAGTATGTTCATTCTGCTCTACCACTTCAGGGATCCTACAGCAGCACATCATCTGGCAGTGTTTAGTAACTGCTTTTCTATTTTCACCAACTATAAAATATTCATCAAATTCTATTGCATGCCCCATTCTCTCTGTCCCTCTCTGATAATCACCAACTGTATAAAAAGTAATGGCTTTAATTTTAAACAAAGAATCATCACCCCATCTCTAACTACCCTTTGACTTCAAGTAATATTCATGCTTATTTTCATATTTTTGTTGCTAAAGTTACTTTCTATCCTTCCAATAAGTGATAAAATTTATCAAATTTAACTAATTGCTACAAGAGGCTTTATGTTGGTGAAAGTACCTTGAAGAAAGGAAACTAGGAAAGTAATACCCAGCAAGAAAAACTCAGAGGTTAGCCTAATTTGAGGAGAAGTATTTAGACTTTTTTGCTATTTATGAATTAGTGACATTAGAGGTCAAGAGAGATAGATAATTATAGGTAAAGAAATGCAGGCCAGGTGCCGTGGCTCTCACCTGTAATCCCAGCACTTTGGGAGGCTGAGGTGGGCAGATCACCTGAGGTCAGGAGTTGGAGACCAGCATAGCCAACATGGCAAAACCCTGTCTCTACTAAAACTACAAAAATTAGCTGGGCATGATGGCACAAGCCTGTAATCCCAACTATTCAGGAGGCTGACGCATGAAATCGCTTGATCCTGGGAGGTGGAGGTTGCAGTGAGCCGAGATTGTGTGCCACTGCCCTCCAGTCTGGGCAGCAGTGACAAAAAAAAAAAAAAAAAAAAAAAAAAAAAGAAAAGAAAGGAAAGGAGAAAGAAAGGGAAGAAAGAATTTGGTATCAGGATTATGCTGGCCTCATAAAATGAAGGAGGATTCCCTCTTTTTCTATTGATTGGAATACTTTCAGCAGTTATGGTACCAGCTCCTCCTTGTACCTCTGGTAGAATGAGGCTGTGAATCCATCTGGTCCTGGACTTTTTTTGGTTGGTAAGCTATTAATTATTGCCTCAATTTCAGAGCCTGTTATTGGTCTATTCACAGATTCAATGTCTTCCTGGTTTACTCTTGGGAGGGTGTAGGTGTCCAGGAATTTATCCATTTCTTCTAGATTTTCTAGTTTTTTTGTGTAGAGTTGTTGATAGTATTCTCTGATGGTAGTTTGTATTTCTGTGGGATCGGTGGTGATATCCCCTTTATCATTTTTTATTGCATCTATTTGATTCTTCTCTCTTTTCTTCTTTATTAGTCTTCCTAGTGGTCTATCAATTTCGTTGAGCTTTTCAAAAAACCAGCTCCTGGATTCATTGATTTTTTGGAGGGTTTTTTTGTGTCTCTATTTCTGTCAGTTCTGCTCTGATCTTAGTTATTTCTTGCCTTCTGCTAGCTTTTGAATGTGTTTGCTCTTGCTTCTCTAGTTCTTTTAATTGTGATGTTAGGGTGTCAATTTTAGATCTTTCCTGCTTTCTCTTGTGGGCATTTAGTGCCATAAATTTCCCTCCACGCACTGCTTTGAATGTGTCCCAGAGATTCTGGTATGTTGTGTCTTTGTTCTCGTTGGTTTCAAAATCCCTGATGAACATGGATGCAAAAATCCTCAATAAAATACTGGCGAACCGAATCCAGCAGCACATCAAAAAGCTTATCCACCATGATCAAGTGGGCTTCATCCCTGGGATGCAAGGCTGGTTCAACATACACAAATCAATAAACGTAATCCAGCATATAAACAGAACCAACGACAAAAAACATACGATTATCTCAATAGATGCAGAAAAGGCCTTTGACAAAATTCAACAGCCCTTCATACTAAAAACTCTCAATAAACTAGGTATTGATGGGACGTATCTCAAAATAATAAGAGCTATCTATGACAAACCCACAGCCAATATCATACTGAATGGGCAAAAACTGGAAGCATTCCCTTTGAAAACTGGCACAAGACAGGGATGCTCTCTCTCACCACTCCTATTCAACATAGTGTTGGAAGTTCTAGCCAGGGCAATTAGGCAGGAGAAGAAAACAAAGGGTATTCAATTAGGAAAAGAGGAAGTCAAATTGTCCCTGTTTGCAGACGACATGATTGTGTATCTAGAAAACCCCATTGTCTCAGCCCAAAATCTCCTTAAGCTGATAGGCAACTTCAGCAAAGTCTCAGGATACAAAATCAATGTGCAAAAATCACAAGCATTCTTATACACCAACAACAGACAAACAGAGAGCCAAATCATGAGTGAACTCCCATTCACAGTTGCTTCAAAGAGAATAAAATACCTATGAATACAACTTACAAGGGATGTGAAGGACCTCTTCAAGGAGAACTACAAACCACTGCTCAAGGAAATAAAAGAGGATACAAACAAATGGAAGAACATTCCATGCTCGTGGGTAGGAAGAATCAATATCGTGAAAATGGCCATGCTGCCCAAGGTAATTTACAGATTCATTGCCATCCCCCATCAAGCTACCAATGACTTTCTTCACAGAATTGGAAAAAACTACTTTAAAGTTCATATGGAATGAAAAAAGAGCCCGCATCGCCAAGTCAATCCTAAGCCAAAAGAACAAAGCTGGAGGCATCATGCTACCTGATTTCAAACTATACTACAAGGCTACAGTAACCAAAACAGCATGGTACTGGTACCAAAACAGAGATATAGATCAATGGAACAGAATAGAGCCCTCAGAAATAATGCCACATATCTACAACTATCTGATCTTTGACAAACCTGACAAAAACAAGCAATGGGGAAAGGATTCCCTATTTAATAAATGGTGCTGGGAAAACTGGCTAGCCATATGCAGAAAGCTGAAACTGGATCCCTTCCTTGCACCTTATACAAAAATTAATTCAAGATGGATTAAAGACTTAAATGTTAGACCTAAAACCATACAAACCCTAGAAGAAAACCTAGGCAATACCATTCAGGACATAGGCATGGGCAAGGACTTCATGTCCAAAACACCAAAAGCAATGGCAACAAAAGCCAAAATTGACAAATGCGATCTAATTAAACTAAAGAACTTCTGCACAGCAAAAGAAACTACCATCAGAGTGAACAGGCAACCTACAGAATGGGAGAAAATTTTTGCAATCTACTCATCTGACAAAGGGCTAATATCCAGAATCTACGATGAACTCAAACAAATTTACAAGAAAAAAACAAACAACCCCATCAACAAGTGGGCAAAGGATATGAACAGACACTTCTCAAAAGAAGACATTTATGCAGCCAACAGACACATGAAAAAATGCTCATCATCACTGGCCATCAGAGAAATGCAAATCAAAACCACAATGAGATACCATCTCACACCAGTTAGAATGGCGATCATTAAAAAGTCAGGAAACAACAGGTGCTGGAGAGGATGTGGAGAAATAGGAACACTTTTACAATGTTGGTGAGACTGTAAACTAGTTCAACCATTGTGGAAGTCAGTGTGGTGATTTCTCAGGGATCTAGAACTAGAAATACCATTTGACCCAGCAATGCCATTACTGGGTATATACCCAAAGGATTATAAATCATGCTGCTATAAGACACATGCACAGGTATGTTTATTGTGGCACTATTCACAATAGCAAAGACTTGGAACCAACCCAAATGTCCAACCATGATAGACTGGATTAAGAAAATGTGGCACATATACACCATGGAATACTATGCAGCCATAAAAAATGATGAGTTCATGTCCTTTGTAGGGACATGGATGAAGCTGGAAACCATCATTCTCAACAAACTATCTCAAGGACAAAAAACCAAACACCACGTGTTCTCACTCATAGGTGGGAATTGAACACTGAGAACACATGGACACAGGAAGGGGAACATCACACACTGGGGCCTGTTGTGGGGTCGGGGGAGGGGGGAGGGATAGTATTAGGAGATATACCTAATGTTAAATGATGAGTTAATGGGTGCAGCACACCAACATGGCACATGTATACACATGTAACTAACCTGCACGTTGTGCACATGTACCCAAAAACTGAAAGCATAAAAAAAAAGCGAAGAAAGGGAAGGAATAAAGGGAAGGAAGGAAGGAAGGAAGGAAGGAAGGAAGGAAGGAAGGAAGGAAGGAAGGAAGGAAAGGAAGGAAAGGAAAGGAAAGGAAAGGAAAGGAAAGGAAAGGAAAGGAAAGAGAAAGAAAGAAAGAAAGAAAGAAAGAAAGAAAGAAAGAAAGAAAGAAAGAAAGAAAGAAAGGAAGAAAGAAAGAAAGAAAGAAAGAAATGCAGTACAGAAAGAAAAATGCAGTACTTAAGAGCACAGCCTCTGGAATAAAACTTGGTGGTTTGAATTTGCTCCCCCTTATTTTCTGTGTGTGTGAAATTAGCCAAACGATGACTTAAGCTTCTGTTTTGTACATATAAAATGAAGGTAAAATGGTGAATTCATCATCGAGTTATTTAAGGTTTTAATAAGATAACTTGTTCAAGTGTCTAACACATTTTCCTGGCTTATAGTAAAAATAAACAAAGGTTAGCTATTATTATTATGTTGATAGACCCAAGAAATACGGAAACCACTACCAAGATATTAAAATGTTAATTTTCACATTTAGTTAAAGAATTAAAAATAGTTGAAAAACGCAGTAAAAATATTATTAACTATGTACTTGAAATATTTTCTTTATGGAATTTGTGGTTTTTAAACAATGTGCTAAATCTAATTTTAACAGCCCTCGAAACGTTTTAATCTTATCATTAGCACCAATAAACACACATTTATTAAGTCCTTATGCATGCTTAAAGCTCTGAATGTTAGAATTAAGTAAGCATAATCTATTTTCAAGAAGGTCATACCATCTTAATATCTATGGTTCTGTGCATACTCAGCTTTATGAAGGTTATTATACATTGGTGAAATTTTTAGCCAAAATTTAAATTTAAAATTTGGAGAAACTTGGTACATTGATAGTTCAGTGAAAATATATATACACATTTATACAATATTTGGGGACTAACTTTCTATATTTGAGTTATATATAGCATTTTAATGTGATATAATGTCACATATTTAAAGTTAAGCATTTTAGAGAGATATTGACTACTGAGCACAAAAAAATCTTGGAATAGAATGTGAAAAATCAATGTTAGCATAATCCAGCTATCTTTCAATGACCACTTCTTTGAAACTGGCATCTCTACATTTCCCGGAATACATTCTAACTTTACCAAGAACTCTAGGAGAGCAGTGCCAATTTTAGTTAAGATTTTATGGAGCCTTGACATCACAAAACCCTCAACACAAAACTAAATAAATCCTTTACATATTTCTTCTGCCAACTCTGTTAACTCTGCTTCCAATTGTGTTCCTCCTTATTCACCCTTCAGCTGTTAGAAAATCTAACAGTGCGTGAGGGCCACTACTTAAGCTTGTCCCAGAATACGTTTGTCTGACTGATGAAAGACTGACTTTTTAATGCCAGAAGAAGCTAAAGCAGGTTATCTTTTCTCCAGATGATTGGATATTTTAACAGAGACACCAATTCACAGAATATGGATAAAAACACACATGTGCAAATACCTATCTAATGTTGCCTTTCATTCCTCCTTAGTTTGAGCTAGAGAAGAGTGCAGGGGTATAGCTTCTTTTCACTCCAAGCAGGGTAGGGTCACTCCTCTGGTACAGAAATGGGTTGGAGGAGAGGAAAACCATTGTTTGATGATTAGCCATGGGTCCTCAAAAAGCTATATCTTTTCTATTTCAGCAAGAAAAGAGAGCAGTTTTTATCAGTTTAGAGAAGAGGCAGTTTGGTATTGGGATAAAGTGCATAACCTTGGAGTCAGGCTGCCTGCATTGAATCAAAACTCCATCATTTACTAGATGTGTGAATTTGCAGTTACTTCAGTGCTTCAGGTTTCTCACCTGCAAAAATAAAATGTTAACACCGTCCTCAAAGTGATTATTTGATGTTTATATGAAGATTGATGTCTTGTACACTGCTTAAATCATAATGGAACAGAGTAAACACTCATTAAATGTTAGCCATTGTTATCAGATGTTTTCTTGGATTCCATCATGAAGAGGGCATAAGTCAGCTGTGTGTCTTGGAGAGTCAGCCAATGGGTCCTTTTCCTCATGGGGTCAGTCATTTTTAATCTGAGTCTTATTGGGAGTGGCCAGGTAACAAGGATTGGGCAGCAGAACTACAATGTGATTGTTGGGTACTCATAAATCAGGCTATCTGAGCAACACAAAGGTATTTAGCCTTCTAGGGCCTTAATCAGTCTAGGTAAAAAAAATCCCTGAAGCTGTCTTAAAACACATCAGTAAAATATCCTCAAACGAATACCAACTATTCTGACCATGACTCATAGTAAGAAATATATCTAACATTACAACTAGGAAATACATACTAGTTGGAAGCTAGGGATCAAATACCACTAGACTGGTCCTCTGATAATACATCATGATGGATGCTCTTGGGGTGTCAGGCTTCAACTTTGCCCTGTCTGCAAGTACAACCAGATGCTGAATTGTGTTTTTAACTTTTGCATTCCCTCTTTGAGGCAAAGTTTTAAAAACTTATCTTTTCATCTTGGGCTTCATTTCTTCCATGGTATCTACCATGACAAAACTCCCTGCCCTCTTTTCACCACCACTATATGCCAATTAGACTTGAAGAAACTATCAATGGAAAACAAGAGATGTTCCTTTTTCAGAGCAGACACTTGCATCTCTGAAGTATTTCATATCACATGGTACTCAATGCTATAACACTTCACATATAAGAACCAAGTATGTATCCATTTCTCCCTTACCAAATTTTGCATCACTGTTTTCACACATTTCAATTCTGCATATGTTATAAATTCCATGATGCATTGTTATTGCTGTTGCTTTAAACAGTTGACTATAAAGGGTATTAAATAATAAGAAAAAAAACTCTTTATATTTACTCATATAGTTACTGATCCATGCTGTTCATTTCTTCCTGTAGAACCATATTTCCATGTGGTAATGTTTTGTTTCTACTTAAGAATTCCTTCAACATTTCTTATAATGTAGGTCTGCTAGTGTTACACTCATTTAGTCTTTGTCTGGAAAAAAAAATCTTTATTTCATCTCTGTTTTTAAATGGTATTTTTGGTAGGTGAAGAATTCTAGATTATGGTTTCTTTGTTTCGATATTTTAAAGATGTTGCTCCACTGTCTTTTAGCTTGCATTGTTTCCAAAGAAATCTGCTGTCAGTGGTGTCTTTGTTCCTCTCTCCCAAAATGTGTCTTTTTTCCTTTGGCTGCTTTTAAGATTTTATCACTTCTTTTATGCAATTTGATGGTAATGTGCTTTGGTGTGCTTTTTTATGTTTCTTATGTTTGTTGTTGAGGTTATTATATCTGCAGATGTATAGCTTTTATAAAATTGAGAAAATATTCAGCTATTATTCCTTGAGATATTTTTATGCCCTACTCCTTCTTCAGGCACTTCATTTATACATATATTAGGCTACCTGAAGTTGTTTCACAACTCACCAACAATCTACTCATTTTTCTTTTCCAGGCTTTTTGCTTTATGTTTCACATTAGATATTTTCTACTGCTGTTTCCAAGTTCTCTAATATTTTCTTCTGCAATGTTTAATCTTCTGTTAATCTCAACCAGTGTATTTTTCATCTCAGACACTGAAACTTTTTATCTTTGGAAGCCTGATTTGAATCTTTTAAAAAATCTTTCATGATTGTTTAGCATGTTCAACCTTTCCTCTGGCTTTCTAAACATATGGAATACAGTTATAATAAATGTTTTAATACAGTTTTACTAATTCTATAATCTGTGTCATTTATGGATTAGTTTTGAATGATTTTTGTTGTTTTTGTTTGTTTGTCTTGCTTTTTTGTATGCTTGGTACTTCTTGTTTGAATGCCATTCATTGTAAATGTTTAAGTTATTGGGTAATAAATATTTTTTCTATAAATATTATTGATCTTTGCTCTATAGTATGTTTAAATTTCTTAGAAACAGTTTGGTCTTTTTGGATCTTGCTATTAAGTTTCTTAGGCATTTTGTCTAGGGTAAATTTTGCCCCACTGGGGCAAAGATTTCTGAGAACTGTCCCCTGTAAATTACAAGATTTTTCACTCTGATTGATGGAAATAGGACTATTCCCAGATGTTTCCGCTAATCCTTTTGGGTGTTTTTTCCACGAGTCTCAGATGATTTTCACATATACACGCACTGATCAGAACTCTACTGAATAATCACGGGAGACTGTATGCAGATTTTCAGGTTTCTGTCTGTGTGTCTCTCACCTCTGATACTCTATTCTGCAAACTTTAGCCACCTTGTATTCCCTGGATGACCAGTTTTATCTCCTTAACTCCAAAAAAGAGCCAGGCTCTACCTGGGTTCCCTCTCCCCATGTTGTGCCTGGAAACTTTATCCAGGAAGTAAACTGAAGCACTCACATGGCAGAAGGCTCACCTTATTTGTTTTTACCTCACAGGGATCTTTGCCCTCTTTGCCTAACGTAAAATGTCTTGAGAATTATTGTTTCCCATATTTTAACTTGAAAAACTTATTTCAAATAGGAAGATAAATCTAGTCTATTATCTGATATAGAATTTCTTCCTATTATTTGAATCATTTAATCCGTCCTGGGCTTGTGGAAAAAAGTCTTTTCATGTATTTATACTCAGGTATTTTGCTGGTACATTTTTATTATATTTATAATGAAAGGCAGAAGGAGGTCAAATTTTTTTCTCTAGGCCTGAATACAGGGAGAACTTAACTCCATAAGTTTAAAATAATTTTGCCTTATTTTTAAATAAGGCAAATATTTTTTTAAAATAACCTTGCAATTATTTTTTTAAATTTTCATATATTTAAATGAGGCTTGAATGGAAATGTCCATCTATAAACACTAAAGACAAGCTTAAATTTTAAGAAAATTTAAATTTAAATAATAAATTAATAAAATTTAAATTTAAATTTTAAGAAGTAACTTTTAATTAGCTAGGTGTGGTGGCGGGCACCTGTGATCTCAGTTACTTGGGAGTCTGAGGCAGAAGAATTACTTGAACTGAGGAGGTGGAGGTTGCAGTGAGCCAAAATCATGCCACTGCACTCCAGTCTAGGCAACAGAGTGAGACTCTGTCTCAAAAAAATAAAAATAAAAAAATACCTTTTAATACAGTAGCTTATACATTTACTAATCAGTTATTCATATCTTGTTACTCAATATTTATAATTAAAAATATAAAATGTTGGATTAAGCCCACTCTTTTCATTTTTCTTAATCTTCAATTCCTTAAAAAATAAAAAATAAATATTTTATTTTAAATAGATAAGACCCTTTCCTTCTACTCAGTTTTGATCTGAACTTTATTAGAATACTCTGTTCAATTTGAATCATGGTAAATGAAGTGAGATATGGAAAAATAAAATTGGAGAGTACAAAGGCAAGAGCAAAATAAATCACTGCAGTGTTGGGAAATGTGCCTGATGAGAAAAGGCTAAAGGACTAAGTGTACATACCCAAGAAAATTGAAAGGAAACGTAATAGCACGTTTCATGTATATAAAGGAATATTTTATGGGGAGCAGTGAGCAGCTATTTTGTTTGTAAATTGAGGGCAGAACTTCACTAGTCTCCTAGCTGATCACCCTGTCATGCCTCATTTTCTTCATGCTATGATCTATCTAACACACGGCTGGAAAAACAATATTACTCAAAGGCCATTTTCATCCATCTCTCTCCTGTTCAGGAACTTACAAGGACTTTTTCTAACCTACTGCATGAAATCTAAACTTCCAACAACTAGTATCCAAATCTCTTTGTCAAGCAATGTTAAACTTTCCTGCCTCATGGCTCAGCACCTCCCATACTAGTTCCTCTATTTGTGTCACCATTTTTATGACATAATTCTTGATCTTTCTTGTCCCCGAAACTTTTTCCCATTTTTTTACCAATCTATATGCCCTTCTTAATCCTTTCTCCTAATCAAGTCCGTAATTTCTAAAACTAGACACGTTTTTTAAAAAAAAAAAAAAAAAAGAAAATGCATTTTCATATGAAACATCTCAATCTAAATATACTTTACAATCATTTCAGATTTCACAGTTTCTTCAGGTTTTACATCTGCAAAAAGGTTTCTTCCCTGAGACTGATGGTGCAGTTTGCTCACTGCACAACTCCAGGAAAAACTAAGTGCACTGTAACCTCTGTGAATGCACTCCTTAGCTGTGCCATTCACACCTATGCAGTTGTGTTTGGGCCTGCATCTTTCCTTTAATTTCTTCATCACTGATAATACTCATGCTACTCATTTGTTCCTGAAGCAGGTATTCAAAGCCATCCCAGCTCCTCCTTCTGCCCCCATAATGTGGACACTCTGCCTGTTGAGCTTCATCTCTTTTTATCACCTAAGCTTTCATGCTCTAACCCAGCATTTCTCAACCTTGATGTTATTGACATTTTGGCCTAGGTAATTATTTGCTGTGGAGGATGTCCTGTTTGTACCGTAGGATGTTATAGCAGCATCCCTGTTCTCTCCCTATTGGATGCTGTAGTACTGTTCCCCACTCCCTTTGTGAAAGCCAAAAATGTTTCCAGCCATTGCCAAATTTCCCTGTGGGGGCAAAATCACTTCTGATTGGAAACCATTGCTCTAGCCATACCAAATTAGTAATAATTCCCCAAATGCTATATGCTGATTCATGTCTGTGAATCATGGTTTTTCAACATGGTTCCTCCTCCCTTTTATATTATTCCTATATATGAAAGCTTAAAGAACTTGTATCCATATTAGAAAACAAACCAACTAAGAACCAAAGCAACTACTGAAAAACAACCACAACAAGAACAACTGCAATAGTTTAGGTGTCACTACTTAAGGAAGCATAGCCAGGTCCTTAGAATTTCTTTTTCTCTTCTCCATGCTAAGTGCATTTAGATTTTGCATATTTCCCCACTGCTGCACTCATCACACTTTATCATAATTTATTTTATTAAAATCCATCTCACCTCATGGAATGCAAACATTGTGAAGATAATATGAGCCCCAACCATCCCTGTACCCCCACATTTAGATAACTTTAATTGAAGAAAATATTTAATATTATCTATTCCACTGATTCTCCTGATCAAACCTGTGTAGACATTATTCCAAGTTTATTAAAAATTTCCTTTTATTTTATATTTTAATAATTCAGTTTTAAAATTAAGCTTAAAAATTAGTAGCTAAAGAAATGGTTTACAAATTAAGCTCCTAAAGCTAAATATATTTTTTAAAAAACGGATCCTCTTATTCAAGGAAGAAATATTTTGATTTCTTAACAAGTCATTGGAAACCCAGTTTTTCTTGAACAAATTTTTTTTGATGGAATATTAACATAGTTGAGAAAAATGTTATGCTCACAGAATGAGACTGAATACTATCAGAGTGAAGAGAATTTTGCTAAAGAGTTTTCTGTGCTTTGCTTTTTCACTTCATTGATATATATTAATATTTTTCTTATATTTTCTAAAAGATAGTCAATTCTGCTAAATTTAATAAACTAATTTACACTGAGAGTATCTTCAAGTATTCCAGATACCATGTCAAATTAAAAATAGTTTGCCAAAAATCAAAGGATTGTTTTCCATTTCTTTGCTGCCATTTTCTATTTTCTTCTTAGTTTCTGGAACAATAATTACTGTATATCCTTAAGTAATTGTTAGTGTGTGTGTGTGTGTGTGTGTATACACATTTATATATATGTATGTGTATATAATTACATATAAAATATGTGTATATTTATGTGTATATATACACTAATATATACATATACAACAACATATATATACACACATATGGTAGTCTCACATGTAGACATATATACACACATATATACATATATATGATAGTCTCACATATAGACATATATATACACACATATATATGGTAGTCTCACATATAGACATATACCCTTTTTTTGTTTTTCATCTTCCCTCTGAAAAGAATGTTATACCAAAAAGGAAATGGGCCTCCATTCTTCCTGTTCCTTCCTGGGCCTTAGGAAATAAGCATTGTGTGTGAGCAGTTGAGCTCCAATCCCAGGTTATTTTTCTCCAGGTCATATCTGACTGTGCCAGGCCTTGAGGCGTCTAAAGTCGATGTGTGGATAAATGTCTACTTACACACTCTGACTAGCACATCCCTGGTGGCACTGAGGAGATAACATATAACATTTGTCCTGAGGTGTTTCTTATCCCCCACTTTTCATTCCTCCTTTTTGTAGTGGCTCTATAAACTTCCAGAAAGCTACAGATTATCTGGTTTCTCACTGGAATTGTTTTTTCATGAATATTCTTTTTTGGCACATAGTTTTTTTCTACTCAGTTCAATAAGCATATCTAGTACCTACCAGTGACTCTGCGGGTGGTTTTACAGATGCAAAATGTATTCGACTGTGCTCCAGTAAATCATATTGCAAATAATGCTTATTGGAAAATTTAAAACAATAACAGATTTATTGGACATCAAGAGTTATGGCATTATTAAGTTAATGTCATAAGTAAATAAATTAAATTTTCAACTTAATGCAAAATGTTCTGCCAGTGTCAGCATATCTTTGACCACCAGTGCCTTTCTGCACTGAAAGCTGGTGATATTCCAAAGTCAGAGATTTAAATAAGATCTCAGACTTCTATGTTGATGATTTCTCTCTTTCTCCCCTTTTCTTTCCTTTTTTTCCTCTTTTCCAGTTTTACAGAAGGCTTACAATATTTTTTATCCATTAAACAAATATTTATTGCTTATTATAACCTAAGAACTGACTAACAGGGATGAAAAGGACATGCCACCCAACTTTGAGGGCCTCTCACTTTAGGGAGGAAAACAATTATACCAGCAATCAGTTGCAAACTGGAAAGTTCTTGTGATAAGACAGAAGAGAGGCTCAGGGAAGATTTTAGAGATGAGGTGACTTGTATTCTGCTTTTGAAGGATAATTAAGATTTTCTCAAAGGAAGTGAGATCCTGTCTCATAAAGAAAAAAGAAAATTTTTCTTGGCAGAAAAACAAGGAAGAACAGTAGCAAGAGAAAAAAAAAAACCCTGAGCAAAAGTCAGCAGCTTGAAATAGCCAGTTCCATTTGAAAAATAACAGAAACATTTTATGCACCATGCCTGTGGGTTACACTAGCAAAGCATACATGGTTACCCATTGTCCCTCATCTGAAGAGGAGCTAGGGTCAGGATTTCCAGATTCTTCTCCAGTGGCAATGCCATCTAGGTGATTCTCAGGCTCCTACACCATGTACTAAGATCCAGGTGGACAAGAGGTGGCATATTTTGTATACTGTGTGTTGTTATTGTGTGTGTGTGTGTGTGTGCGCGCGCGTGCGCGCGCGCGTGCGCACACATGCGCATATGTGTGTGCTTTTATTATTCTGTTTATACCTTTCTACCTTTTAAACCAAATGTTACACAGAATCAGAAGTTCAACACGTAATAGATTAAAACAGAACTGATCTGGCTAAGGCAAGAGCTATTGCTACATGCTTTTCCATTGAACCACCCCTTGCCTTATTAAAGCATCAATGTCTCCCTTTGTAAGTTTTCCAGAAGCAAATCCTGATCTTCATGGGATTGGAAAGAAGGAGGAAACTAAGTTCTTTTAAAAATAAACCTACAGAAAAGGATTTCTATGATGGTTTTGCTTTAATGAGAGAACTTCCAGCTCGCAGATCCACAAATATTAAGAGCAGTTTCACATTTTAAAGATGTTTATTCAAGAGACAAAATGGTCTGCAACAATTAAGGATTATTTAACTCCCCATATATCCTATTATAAATCTCAAAATTATGTGTTAAACCAGGGGAAATATAAGAATATGGTACTGGTATTACAGAGATTGGCATGAAACAGAAAATTAAAAATATACAGCCTCCAATTGCATTTTTCACAGCAAGATTCAGACGGGGAAGGGAAAACCACAAATCTACCATGAAGGAATCATGCTGCAGCCACCTGAATTCCCAGATCACTCTTAGTAAAAGTAATAATGGGACAATTGGACATTGTATCCATCAGATGAAATGCAGTAGGTTTACAGAATCACTTATGAAGAATCATTTCCAAAATACTATAATATGAATTTAACCAAGCTGCTAAATCTAACTTCTTGTTTATCAATAATACAGGGAGTAGAGAAACAGATTGGATGATACTATGAGGCCAAAGAAGGAATTAGACAAATAGGTGGAACTTTCTCTTCAACTAGTCAATGTCACAAAAAAGAAGGTTGGGGGTGATGCAGAAGCTAAAGAGACCAGAGAAACATACCAACTAAAAATAATGCCTCATTAATTGGATCTTGGTTTAAACAAATTAACTTTAAAAGACATTCATGGTTAATTAGTGAAACTGAAAAATGCAAAAGATATTAGACAATATTAAGGAAATTTAGTTAACATTTTTGGGTATAGTAATGATACTCTTTGGCATTATAATGGGAGAAATGTTAAGTTGATAAAAAGTATTTAAGTTTGAGGTATCATATCTGTAATTTATGTTAAAATAATTTAGCAAAAAGGTTATAGAAACAAATTTGCAAAATATTAACATTTGTTAACTCTACATAATGGGTTTATGGGAGTCATGTTAGGATCTATATGTTTTCCATGTGTTTTAACATTTTCATATTAAAAAACAAGATTTTTTAATCTTTATAAACAATTTTTTAATCTTTATAAACAATTAGAAGTTTACCAGGTATTGTTAAAAGAGTTTATTTTTTTCTAGATCGATGAACGGCATCAATAGGGATCTTTTTGCATAAAATGTTTTTAAATTAGCTTAAAATATTACAATTGCCATTGTGATTTAGAAGTAAGATACAATAAGTTTGACATTGTCTTCATTTGTTATTTTATTATTTATTATTTTTTTTCTTTTGAGACAGAGTCTCGCTCTGTCAGCCAGGCTGGAGTACAGTAGTGCAATCTTGGCTCACTGCAACCTCCACCTCCCAGGTTCAAGTGATTCTCCTGCCTCAGCCTCCCGAACAGCTGGGACTACAGGCACCTGCCACCATGCCCAGCTAATTTTTTGTATTTTTAGTAGAGACGGGGTTTGACCGTGTTAGCCAGGATGGGCTCGATCTCCTGACCTTGTGATCTGCCCATCTCAGCCTCCCCAAGTGCTGGGATTACAGGCGTGAGCTACCGCGCCCAGCCTTTGTTATTAATTTAATTATTTATTCTACTCTTTAAGAATTATTTATAGTGACATCATAAAAAAAATTCTCAGGAAATTAATGAATGTTTTATTTTGATGCCCATAGATCTACTTACTTAAGTTACCACAATCATTTGAGTTTCAATTTCTTCATGTATAAAATGAGAATATTAATAAATTCCTCATAATTACATGAGGAATAAATGAGCTAATAAGTAAATAGTGCTAGAATTCAACAATAACTGAGTGAATGATGGAACTGTTGTAAATAGGGGTACCACAAACACCAATAATACAATTTCAAATGTTCCCTTACTAGAGTATTTTCCAAAAGATACTTTCTACTACAAAGCATTCCTCAGCTTTTGTTTCTAACAGTCCTTCTACTGAAGAATCACAGCAAACTTCATTGCATGTGTCAAATTATTTATTAAAAAGCAGAAAATAAATTCTAATTTTTTTCCTATAATTTAAGGATTATAGAAATTATTATGAACATATTTCAATTAGAGATGTATTTTCTGTATTGCAGAATCATGAATATTATTTCTATTAGTGAACAACTAAAATAAAAATTATAAAATGCCCAAATGATTTGAGAATGAATCTTAAAAAAGTTATATTACATTTTAAGAGGGTACCAGGTGAGTTTCTTTAACAAGCTTGGGTCAGGTTATACCATTTGTGCAAAGGAGTGCAATTATTTCTTAAATTCTTAGTTCGTTTGAAGCAGCAGAGCCCAGTAAATATCTGAACTATTTCTTCTAAGGAAAATTGCATGCTGTTGAAAAGTCTTAGTTTCCAGAAACATTTGATTTCAGAAACACACTACCTAATTAAACAGATTATGTGCAGGCAGATCAGGTGGCAACCTTCCTTAACTGATTTTTAACAATTCTGTAGCTCTAGTGCTGCCATTTGTGCAGCTGTAATTAAAGGCACAGTGTTTCCATTTACACTCTTCATTTTCTGACCTGTTCATAAATGTCTGCTGCAGGCTGAAGCCCACAGTGCAAAGTTTTATTAATAATGGATTTGAGATATAACTGTGATATGATTTATGTTCTCCCAACAGAGTTGGCAGTGTTCCACTTCATGGGAGAGCTGGTTTCTGTAATCTCACTTCCCAACAAATGACAATGGCTGAAGCAGAGTGAGTGGGAGCTAATCAAATGGAACCAGCTTATTTGGCTGGTTCAATTTATTTGTACAATTGATGAGGACATAACAAAATAATTAGTCTTGCTATTCACAGGTCATTAAGACAACCTTAGGGAAAATCAGACAGAAAAAAATACAAACTTTTATTTGATTTGCCCCATATAAAAACTGAGATGGATTTAGACCAGAATATGAATATTTTACTTAAATATTTGTATTGAATCATTTAATGAAAAAGTATATATTGTTTAGTCCAATCAGAAAGCAGAGCATAGCTGAGATTATGACATATCTCAATCAGTGAAATATCTGGACTAATAAAATAATCTTACATGTTAGCTAGACATGCCTAGTAGGCAACTGATAAATTCTGTATTACACGAGTGTTTGATTACCTCTTTCTGAGAAATACAGTATGTCCAAAATAACAGCAAAATTCTACTGAATATAATTTAGGCTGAGAAAATTCAGAAGTCAATACAGGTTTTAGTGACGCTTATAATGTTTATTATGAATCCCTGGAGTTAACCAAACTGTGAGGTTTGAGAGCACAGCCCTCAACTGTCCTTACTTCTGACACCAACCAAAAGCTCAGGAGGGAGGGGTCCCCAAATCACCCTCAGGTTGAATAATTTTCTAGAAGGATTTACACAACTCTCTGAAAGCTTTTGTACTTATGGTTACTGTTTATTACGGAGAAAGGACACAAACTGAAATCAGCCAAAGGAAGAGCTACAAAGAGTCTAGGAAGGTTCCAAATAAAAATTTCCATTGTCTTCTCCCAGTGGAGTCAAGACATATTACCTTCCCAGCATTGATGAGTAACAATATGCACAGATTACCACTAAGAAAGCTCACCCAAGTTTCTATGTCCATAGTTTTTATTGTGGCTTTATTATGTGGGCTTACTTAATAGATTGATTGCCCATTGTTTGGACTCAGTCTCCAGACCAACTGATACAATGTGACCAAAAGTCCTCACCCTAAGTCACATTGTTGGTCTTTCTGGCATGAATAGCTCCCACTCTAAGACTATGGGGTGTGGCTGGCATCACCCTAAGATCCAGTGTAAATCCAGATCCAAATTCATCCTAAACAATGACATTCCTATTATGTGTGATGTAAATAACCTCCCAAAAGCCTAGGGCAAAGGCCATATCTTTCTTTGGACAGGCCAAATTATGTGCTATACAAGGAATGTTAACAATCATTTCCTATCTAAGTGTGAAGTTAAAGAAGATAGATAAGAGTTGAGTGTAATAGAATATCTCTAGTTTTACCCATGTGATTATTTTAACTAGGACAGTATAATAATCTGCTATTAAATATTATATTCCCTAGCAGTCAATGAGTATATTTTAAGTATTTGGATGTATAACCCTTCCAAATTTGGGACTTATGAAAGCATTATAATCTCAAGTCATTTTATTTTATAGTCAGTCAATTTTGTTTATAGATCAATGTGTACTTTGAGCTGTTTTCTCACTCATTAAGAAAGCTTGTTCATCACACCTCATAACACTTTATCCTACCTCCCAAAACACAAATACTACAATACTAATTATTGGTTTTCTGTATGTCCAATCTAGTGCTTATTAGTTAATGTATTCAATTCAATCTCATCTCAGTTCAAAACTATCCCGGAAAAGTTAATCTGATAGAAAATGGTTTAATGGTTAATGTCCTACAAATGAAGTTGAGTTAAGTATTTTGAGAATCTTGTTTACTGAGTTTGACAGGTTTCAACACAACTACTAATATCCCCAATTTTAAGGAGATTACTCAAAATAATACTTTTAATATTATCTATTGCTATTCTGAAGTAAATAAAATTCATGGCATTCTTATTTTACAGACAATTGTTGCATAAACAAGGCTAGATATTGTTACTCTTCCAAAAGAAGTTCCATTTAAAACATATTTATCCAGATGGGAAATACTCATTAGCAGAGGACCCGGTAATAGGAAATAATAAGCTGCCAATCAAGCAAATTACCTTCATGATGATGATCATTAGAAAGGAAATGCTTTAGATGAACAACTGATTGAAGGATGATGAGGTCAGAGCATAGCTTTGCCATGGACAGGGACAAAGAAACATGCCTGTGTCTGTGGAAGGCTGCAGAACTCTGCCTCTGTGCCAGAACTTTGTTCTGGTCAGTGGGAACATTTTTCTCCTAAAATGTGCCTTCTCAATGGATATCAATTTGTATTGTACTTTTCTATAGTATTATCTAAAATTCTTTGACATCTTCCATGAAGGGGCTAACACAAGAACCAGAGCTTTCAGAAACCTGGAGAACAGCTTCTTTGCAAACTCTCTTCTAATGGAAAAGGGCTAGCACCCAAGGAGCCAAACTAAAAATAGTCCCAGTTAATAGGAGGTGAGATATTATATGTTGAATGCTTATTATATGCCACGTGCTATGTATAGATTATTTGATTTAGTCCTCCTGACTATCCTGTGAGGTATAAATTATTATGCCTATTTTTGTTTTTAGATGAAGAAATGATGTGCACAAGAGTTGAAGAACCTGCTCTCGGTGAAGAACCTGCTCTCGGTTAAACTGCTAACATGGCTGGTTAAGGATTCAATCTTCACTTTATATGATTCCAAAGACTGTGTTATTCTCCATACTCCTGTCTCAACTGTTGCAGAATCACAGGATCTAATATTGCAAATAAGCTTATAGATGGATCTAATTATTTCAATTTCAATCTAATTATTTCAATTTCTTGAAGCTAAGAAAGTCAAAGTAGTTAGCTTTCAAAGGATGAGATGATTCGCCTGGCCTTAAATCTCAGATTTGCCACCTAATAGCTGTGCAACATTGAGCATATTACTCTACTTTCTGGACAGCAGTATTCCTCCTAAGGAAACTAGGAGGTATACCTTATGTTATACCTAAGGTAGGTTATATTTAGTCAGATAACATAACGAATTTATGGGTTTGCTATCTGACTAAATATAAAAAGGTATATAAAGCACTTAGCCTGGTACCTAATATTAAGATGTGGACAACTTAGCAGCTTCTCAAGGTGCCAAATGTAAGGGACTCCATCACAAGAATTGATCAGAGATAAGATGCTAGGAACCCAGGTTTTTCTATAACTCTAAATAGCAGGTAAAAATAAACTGGCCTCAATCCTACTGGAAAAGGAGTGAGGATAAGCTAAGCATACGTTAACATTTTGGCTCAACTATTTTTATAAAGCTAACAAATTGAGAGTTGTGATTACGCCAACTATGTAGTTATCAGGCATTGAAGATGGAAAATACAGTTAACCGTAATTGTATGAGGTCTGGTTACATGTATTAGTAACTGAAATTATACATCAAAGGGTGCAAGTTATCATTCTACTTAAAAGACTTTATTTATGGAGGTTACATTCGTGACCACCTAATACTATCTAGTTATTATAACAAGTATAGTTAGTATTTATTGGAAGCCTTACTATGTTAAGGGCAGGTTTCTGAGACTTTTATATTTATTAGTTCAAGGAACTCACAAAAGTTCTTTACAAGATAGATTCTATTTCTCTCAGTTTTCAAGATTAAGAAACAAAGGCACAAAGAGTTTACAGGGTTTGACCATGGCCCTAAAATGTCAAATCAAGAAAGTCTGAGCCCCTGCTCTTACCACTATAATGTACTCTGTAAATTAGGAGAAACTAAAAAATGTGTAATAAAAGATATTTAGTATGTTAAAATCTACTTAATAGTATAGGTAACAAATCTATTTTGAGCTTTAAAAATAAGCAAACACTTTTTAATTATAGAAAAATACTTTCAAGCCCCTTCCAAATAAATACTTCAAATAATTTTCCAAACACTTCAACAAGGATATCCCATGTGTTCTACTCTAAAATATTGAAACCACTGTAACATGTAACAAAACACTTAGCAGAATAATATAAAATGGTGTTTAAGAATACAAACTTGAGAGACAGTCTGCCTGTGTTTAAATTTTGACTTTTTTCACATTAGCTTATGATTTGGGAAAATTATGTCTCATTTTTCCATTATCTATAAGGAGGCTATAATAGTATTTATCTTATTGTACTTTCCTTACAAACAAAAGAATTGAGCGTATTTTAACAGAGCTTTGATTGGACCAGGCATGTGATACATACTTGAATAATACTGGCTTTATCTGTATATGATATTACAGTGATTAAAAAAGCAATTTTAAAATGTTTTTGTCTGTGAATCCCTTAATACCCTGAAATTAATTGAAAATCCCAAAGATTTTTTTAAGTCAGTTATATTTATCAGTATTTCTCATAAAAGAAAAAGTTGAAAAATTAAAATACTTATTAATTTAATTTAAAACAATAATACATGTATTATATTTTTAAATAAATAACACATTTTAGTAGAAAGTAAATATATTTTCTTAAAAAACTTGGGGAGATTAGTGGTGGTATTTTACATTTTTGCACATCTCTTTAATAGATGGCCATCGAAAGTCAGCTAAATTCTCATATATACTTGTGAGTACAATCTGTTGCAATATGTTATTTTGAAGTACTTGAAGAAAATTCAGTCTCACATAGATACGCAGTTGGAAAAAGAGGAATATTTTAATATAATTTCCAGATAACTGTGAACGTTCTCCCTTGATACTACACTAAAACTTGACAATTGGTGACTTATTAAAGCTTCATTACAATGTGCAATCTGAAATCCATTTAATAAATATTATTATGCCCTGTTACATTATACTGTTATATTAAATTGTATATTCCACTCTTTAAATGGTCTTTCACATTTGCATAATTTTCTACCATTGATCACTGAAAAATATGATTTCACTGAGTTATGCAGTTCTTCCAATACTAACATGTTTTATTAAACAATAAAAAATTTATTTGTTAATATCACCACATCCTTATCAGAAAAATCTAAGTATTGGGAAGCTCTCAACTCACAGTGGATGTCACACAAGTTTTCCAAAATTTCGATTTCATTTGACAGCTTCAATTTTATCACTGGCAACAAATATTGATCACTTATTTTGTCTTGAAGTTACAGGATCACTTCTTTCATTTTAAAGTAAATGTTTGCCATATAGCCAAGCATGAATAACCATAATTTGTCTGTCAGTTACTCTTTACAAAAAAAAATATATTGTGTACCATGAAGAAAGGGGATTGTTTAGCTCTCAACTCAATCAATTGGACAAGTGCTTTTTTGGGGGCAACCATCTTATTTTGATATGCAGCAGAAAAACTTTATGAGGACTTCCTATTTTGTTACAATAATAGTAAACATATATGTCCTTTCTGGCTTGTGGCAAAGAAGAACTAACAGAAAATAGTTTTGCCCTCCCTGAAACAAACAAAAGAAAAACCAAAAACTATTAATCAAGGTTTTTCAAAACACTGGACATCAGCCAACAAAGAACAGAGTTCCTTGTCAGACAGGAAATAAATGAAGTGATTCCTACATCGGCCCCCTGTTCACTCCTCTGAATAAGGCTGATGGACTTCCAAAGGTGAGGAGACTTGGAATCCAGGTGGCAAGTGTTTGCAGGACAGAATACTGGGAAAGAGCGAATTGCATAGAGAGAGAGAGAGATAGCATGCTCTGGAAATCTGCATAGAGACCCTCAAGTATTCAGTAGAATGTTGATCAACATTCATTTACTCATTTGTGCATTTATACATTTTTATATATTTATAATTTATTATTTCTAGTATTATGCCCTCTAAAGGGTAAGTATTTGAAGTAGATACTTCGTTTAGCAACTTCCTAGAATGATAATAATTTTACTTAATTTAAAAATAGAACTCTATCTGAATGTAAATGTTATTGTTGTTCTTGCTTGACTACCAAGTGATTCTTTGTGTAGTCCAGAGTGATTTGATTTGCTGCCCCATGGGACTTTTAAGTCCAAGCCTTTCACATCTTTTCCAGAAAACATGTGATCTCTACTTTTGAAATGATCAATGCTACCTCATTATTCTTGTGTTGTTACCTAGTCACTTATTGTGATTCAAAACTTCTGTGGAATTTATCTATAACTTCAACAGAATGAGAATCAAGGCAATTTATCTACTAGAAAATGAAGGTTCAAGTCTGCCCCAACAATTCTTCTTTTTGGAACCTGGCTAACCTATTATCTCAAAACGTGGTGTTAACTAATTAATGTGTATGACCGCCAGAGGTGATCAAAGGATCACCTTGATCCCTTGTATATACCTTGGCTGTCCCTTTGATACAGTATCTTTCTAAGTGGTTATCATATACCAGGATTGTTTAGTAAGAAAATATCTGCTACAACATCCTGTCATTTATAAATTGTTTTTACCTTTACAGAGAATGTTTGGCTCACTCAAATTTAATCCTCTTTACTCTTTCCCATAGACTAGCTACACAAAGATGCACAAACACATATACATGCACACAATCTGCATATGCAGAGCTTATATGAGCTCAAATATTTATATTTTCTTTTTCTTTTAGGTATTTGCTTTCATTTTGCTTATAATTAATAACTATATATACATGAAACAATCTTAAACACTGAAAAAGGATATATGTATATGCATATATAGAATACCTGTACACACACATTCTACATAGTTGATAAAATAAATAAAAAGCAAATATCTACTATCGAAGTTACCCTTTCTTGGCATCATAACTACACCATTGCAAATTTTATTGTAACTTTTCCTTTAAATTATATTTTGAACTCATGGCTTTTTACAGATTCAAATTATTTTCATTTGAATTCAAGCTTATTTAAGCTTACATTTTTATCCATTGGCCAGTGATAGCCTTCTTCAGTGGGGTTCTTTGTCCATTCAGGAATAGGTTTGATATATTTAAAAACACTTTTTGCTTTTTGCAATAATAGAAAATTCTGTGCTCATTCTGAATGATCTCTCCTCCAACAACAGAATGAGATCTCTAAGAAGGCCTGGTTCCCCTTTTTTGACGGGGATTAAAATTCAATATATCGACACAAGGGGGCAATCAGGAGTACTGGTGATGTGAAGGTGTAGCTACTTCTATTGCCAGCTTCAGAAGCTTTCAGCAACAGAGATAGAAAAGTGATTTCATGATCTTGGGTTCACACTAACTTCTAAAAATTAAAGCAGTATGCTACTGTATCCTGATTTCCTTGCAGCATGTAATTTTATTACCACTAAAAAATGTTAATATTACCAATGTGTAAACTCCAATTTTAAAGTAATATAAAAATAGAATAAAACTCCAATTGATTAAAATACAATGAGTACTACAGTTCCGTTCGTAGGAGACCTCTGAAAGTTCAGTAGTGTCTTTTCTATATGAGCATTATTTCCTTGTACAAAAGAAAATGCTGCAGAAATCCAAAGAGGGCTGGTGCCTTTCATAGATGTCAAAATTCTGTCATATGTTGTTCTGGACATTTTGCAAGTGAGTATTTCATCATACTTTTATTAAGAATGTATTATTTTTATTTTTTCCCAAGAGCTACATTTCTAGCAACCAAAGTATCAAAGTATAAAGAACAAGGAGATTGAATGGCGAAAAATAGTTTGGCAAACAGAGCATCTGACATCAATATAGCATCGTTCAACTTAAGGTGATGTTTTGTTCAAACTACTTTATTGGGATATAATATATATATATAGTAAAATATATACACAAAGTGAGCGTATAGTTCAATAAATTTTGACAAATATAAAAACCCATAATACCATCACGCCAATCAAGATAATCTATAAATCATTATAAAGTAAATCTCAGAAGGGGTTCATAAGTTTCTTCAAGAACTTTCTATTACTTTAACTCCATTATCCATTATCATGTGCGTTTTCAATTCTGCATTCACAAGATTATTAGAATTACTTGTCTTTTAAGCAACTGGAGATGACTAGTTTTTCTTGTATAGACTATATTGGAATTCTAAAGCACGAATTAATATGTGTGATCAGCTTATTGTCTTAATACATAATACTAGGTTTTTAGCTACACTCCTGGTTATAATAGCTGTAACAGTCACAATTCAAAAATAATTCGCAATATAGCCTACATTCCTTCATGTCATTCGTATATTATTACATTTGGTTAAAATAATAGTTACCTATAAAGGCATTTTGTGTAAAATTGTTTTAACAAAAAATAATTCCATATAGAACAGCCATTTACTCTCAAGGTAACTTTAATTTCTGGAGTTCTAATTCTTTCTGATTATAACCTCCCACTTGACCTTATATTTCAAATACAGGCTAATCTGCTTGGAGTTCACTAGAATGCATTTAAATTCCAAATAGATGCTGAAAACTAGCCCCATTTCTGGATAAGAGCTTTCTCTGTAATTGTTTTTTCTTTTTTTAATTGTACTCTACCTGAAAAAACATCTGATCTCATTTTCTGAATAGTGTTTCTGATAAAAAGAAAATAAGTAATTTTGGCATAAGTATAAAAATGCACTAAGTTACATAAATCTACTGGAAATTTGGACCTAGCCTTGATCTTGTCACTAAAGCCTTAAGAAAATCACCCCAAGTCTCTGGTTCTCAATTTCCTCACCCTAGTGAAATAAATTCACAGAGATGCAATCAAATTATTTGAGAAGCTTGGCTTTCTCACATGAGGTCAATAGACTTAAGGCTCTCCATTAAGTTAATAATAAAACAAACATTCAAATATGATGGCAACTGATTTTTTGCATTATATTATTAGCAGAAATAATGAATTGCTCTTCTAGAACCAGTCTCTTTCAAACTCGCAGACTCTAAATTTTCCTATCTTTTACTGGTCCTAAAATTTATTGAGGGCCAAGTCCCTGACTTTCTACCTTCTTCATCTTAATATTGTAACTCCCTAGCAACATGTCAGATACATGTAATCACTTGACTTTTTTGTAAGAGCTAAAGAACCTGTTAACCCTCACTACTGCCTTACAAGACAGCAGTTTTCATCCCATTTTACGGATTAGAAAAATAGAATCAGAAAAGTTAAGTAATTTCCTCAAATTCTCACAGTAAATAACAGAGGTGAGATTGCATCCTCAAATATTCTGAAGTTAGAAAGGGGAGATAACTAGTTAGAAAAACAAACCTCTTTTTCCTATCATCCTTGAAACTGATTAATGTCAACAATACTTACTTTTTTTTAAGCGGAAGATAGAATAGCAAAAAAAAAAAGCAGAAAGGAAATATTGAAAGAGGATATAAAATATTAAATTGCAAATTTATATTATGCAAATATAAATTTACAACAGGTTAAAAAATAAAAGCATTCAATAAAAACAATCAGATTTTAGCATGAAGACGACCATTCAAACTGCCCTGGCCTCACTGCACTGACACTGATGTATTTTCAAATCGATGGTCCAGCCTAAATTCCTCAGAGTTCATAGTGCAAGAAATGGCTACATCAGATATGGTGCAACTATGCTTTTTTCAATGTGGCTATCAGGCCTGTTCCTAAGGACATTATTATGGGAGAAGGTTGATTTCTGTGCCAGTATTGTTTTGTTTTGCTTCCCCACAGGATGATAGTGCAAGCAGTGAGCTATAGGCTAGGTTCGGCCTAAGGGAAATTTCAAACAGCAATGACTGAAGTCAGCAACAGTTAAGATGGAACCAAACACATCTTCGGCCAAACAATTTGATTCTGATTCAGGAAATGCCATAAAAAAATCAAATCTATTTTATATCAATAATTCTTCCCTAGATTTTTTTTTTTGCAGGACCAAGACTATTTGTATTCTAATTATAAACCCAGAGCAGAAAGGAAAAACAAACAAACAAAAAATAGCTCCCGCTTTTATCTCAGGTACAGAAGGAGACTGTGTTGTGCAGGTCTAAAATTCTCTGATTTCTCCACAAAACTTAAGAACAAGCCATGCGCATCTTCCATATACAGATTCAAATCAATTTTAAATTACACTGAAATTAGCTTGGGTGGGAAGGTGTGCTGGTTGTCTGCATCTTTAAAAACATTCAGTATGTGTTTTAAGGTATACAAAATATAATGATTAATGTTTGATATTCTAAGTTAGCAAATTATTAGTAATGTGCTGACTGAAATAACTTTAAGCACAGGCAAATGATTATGATAATTGTTTGTATTTATGGCATAAGAGTACGTTAGACAAATTTCACTGATTTTTTTTTTTGAGCAGGAATAGTTCCTGTGGAAATGCATCACCATTGGCTTCTACAGAATGCATATGCCACAATTGTTTAATTAGGGAAACACAGAGCTCCCCCTAATATTTATACAAGTCAAAAAGTTCCACATATACTAATGGATAAAATAAAAATAAAGGAATTAGAAAAAGGCTTTCCTTCAGGTGTATACATAATATGTGTAATTTTCAAGATTAAAACACAAAAGATTAATATATTTATAAAAATGTTTTCACATCTATAGAACAAAAAGAGCAGAAACAAAATTTTAAAAGGCAACATGGAGACAAATTGGCAATATATTTGACAAAACTTGTGAATATATTTCATATATAAGCTCTTAGGAATCAGTAAGAAACTATCATTTCAATTATAAATGGTCAAAGAGCAAGGTCAGTCTGTCATAAGAATATCTAATAAATGTGATTATAAAAAATTTGAATTCCTGTTAATCAGAGAGTTAGAAGCATCTTTCAAATAAGATAATTTTTTAAATAATCTCTAATTATAGTTTTTGGTAAAGGTTCAAGAATTATCCATTCTCAAAGGGAGTTCAAATTGAAAACATCTTTCAATTTTTTTTTTGTTTGTTTTTGTCAAAACGTGACAAAAGCTTTAAAAATGTGCCCAGTCCTTGACCAAACAATTTGATTTCTCAAAATTTATCTTTAGGAAATGAACAGAAAAGTAGTCATAACTTAATCAAATGCATCGTTTATAAGGTTAAATTTGGAAACAACCAAAATATTTAATAATCATGATGGCTTAAATAAATATGGCAACATTTTACCATAGAATACATTATAGCTCTTCAAAATATCATGTCTGTTAGACCTATTAAGTCTTAGGATATAAGGAGAAATTTCAAGAATAGGCAAATCCTTAGCAATAGAAAGTAGGTTGGTCTTTACCTAAAGTTGGAAAATTTGGGAAGGAAATAGTGACTGCTAATGACTGTAAGGTTTGTTTGTTTCCAGGAAAGAAGTGACAATAATATTCTAAAACTAATTGTGGTGATGGTTGCACAACTCTGAATATACTGGAAAACATTCAAATGTCTGCTTTAGATGTGTGAAATATATGGTATATGAACTATATTTTAACACAACTGTTATCTTTTCAAAAAAATTTTTTAATCTAAATAAAACTGACAAACTAAAATATTTGCAACATATATCACAAATAAAGAGCTGATATTCCTAATGCTTAAAGAATTGTTAAAATTTAAGAAAAAGAATATGAAAACCAGATACAAAAGTGGGCAAATACATGAACAAATAATTCACATAAAAGATATAAAAATTGTAATTAAACTTATGAAAAGATATTTAACTCATTCACCATAAAAGAAATGCAAATTAAAGCTACATTGAAGATAAAATTTCAAAGAAATACACACACATATGCACCCACACAAAAGGGGCATACATAAAAACTGGTGAAATCTAAATAAGGGCTATAGTGTAGACCAATAATGTTTCACCAATGTCAGTTTCCTATTTCTGATCACTGTATTCTGGTTATGTAAAATGTTATCATTGGAAGAAGCTGGGTACACTGAAAACATACTATTTTTACAAATTTTATATGAGTCTAAAATTATTTCAAAATAAAAGTTTAAAAAAAGATGTAAGGGTGTGTTAACATTTTGAGTATAAAAAGAAGGTTATAAAAATGCATGAATATAGGAGCCCAATATGTTGAAAAACACGGGTTTCAAAAGAAATAGAATGAAAAATTATCTTTATGTGGTGAGTTTTAAAGTGATTTGTATTTGTCTATATATGTGTAGCAGGTGGATATTTCTTTTTTTTGCTAAATTTCTAACTTGTACATGTTAATAACTTTTGAATTAACTTGAATAACTTCATTTTTGTTATGGACTGCTTTGTACTCTGGCTAATTTGATCAACATAAACATTTTAATTACATAATTTGAGTTCTTAAATGCCTTTTGGCAACACAAGCCCCAGTCTAATTCTTTTTAGTAATTGAGTATGATTTGGTTTGTATGAAAGCCTTCAGCAGCATTTGCATTATTTTCTCTTTCCCTCTTATTCTCATTTGAGCACACTCCCTAAACAAATCCTGCCAGGGCCACACCATGGCAAAACGTCAGTAGAAACACAAGAAATTGTAAAATCATAAACCAAGGGATAAAATAGCAGCTTAACTAGCTTTCTTCAAACAACTGAAATAAATGGTTTAGAAATGTATTTGAGATGTGAAAAATTTTGATTCAAGGTAAATAAAGAGGACTAAAATCAACATAACTGATGATACTATTACAAACAGTACAATCACAAATATTCAGAGTAAAATATTATAGCACAATTTATGATTAAAGCAAATAATCTTCCTTTATTTTCATCTCATAGAGGATTTTATATGAAACAATAAATATTTTACTTTTTAGCATTTTAACAAATGAATGTTTCCAGGCTACACAAGGTCTTTGGAGAGCACATAAATACAAATCACATCAGTCACTAACATAACACACTTCCAACTTCTTCTCTTTTTTATCTTTAATTGTGGAAGAGTATCCAGCTTTATTATATGAGACTTTCTTCAATTTCCTTAGAAAAAAATTATTTTAAAATTTTTAATTTATTTACAAAGTTTAATGTCAAATTCTGGCTAAAACGATTTTTCTCAGTTTCCCTTTAATAGGATCACATTGGTTTAATAGCTGCTCCTTCAACTGTCTTCTTTGAGCTTTATGATTTATTAATCACCAGAAGGGATATCCCACCAAGAAGATTTCCTAAAATAATTCTTGATATTTAATTAGAGAGCAAGCTCACATCTATGTGGCTTTGGGAGAATTAATCCAGAACTATGGCCTGGTCAATGTAGCCTTCACAATGACATAATAGATCATTTAAAAAAATTAAAAATGTTCAGGTGCAGGGACACACACCTGTAGTCCCAGCTACTTGGGAGGTTGAGGTGGGAGGAGCCCAGGAGTTTGAGCACAGGAGTTCAAGGCTACAGTGAGCTATGATGGCACCAGTGCACCCCAGCCTGGGTGACAGAGAGAGATCTTGTCTTAAAAATAGCAAAAAGTATCAAAACAATAGATATGTAATAATAGACAAAGGATAATGGATGGGATAAGCCCCAACAAAGTAATTACTTCCTTTTCTTTCTCTTTCTCTTCCACATAACAGTTCAGTAGCTGGGTAAACATAGACCTTTTTTTGTGCATTAAGAACACAGAGTTAAGGCACCCTACAACTACAGAAGATATTATCTGTAAGGTGATCTAATGGGTTTTTTCTCTAAATTCTACCTTTGATGGCATCTAAGAAAATGTATTGACCAATAACAGACTAAAGAAAAACACAGAGAGCTCTTCTGGTTTCAAAGCAAATGTCAGAATGAACAATATACCCTCATCAAAACTGTCTCACTTTGTAAATCATATGATCATCTCAATAGATGCAAATTAGTATTTTTATTTTAAACTGTTATCCATTTTTCTATAATTTTATTGCAGGAAAACCCAATAGGTTTCAAGCTACCAATTTATAATTCATTATAATAACTAACATTTCTTGAGTGCTTTATATGTGGCCAGGCACTCTTCCAAATGACTCAGGAAATGATGTTTAAATTGAAAATGGATGGATAAGAGTTGGTGGGCAATTGGGTATGTGTTTGGCATTAGAGGCAGAGAGGAGGATCCCAGGCAGAGGAAACAACACTAGGGAAGACCCTGCATTGCATGAACATGTCAAGGACTCTTCCACTTAAACTGAAGGAAAAAAAAATACACTGAATCATAGAAACCAGAAAGGCCTGGGGTAGAGTTTGAAGTTGACTGAGAAGGAGCCCAAGGGACATTTCTGGTGTGATAGAAATGTCCTATACCCTAAATATATAAAGTTATAAATTTGTCAAAATTGCAAAATGTGCACTTAAAATGGTTGCATTTATTGCATATTAATTACACCTCTATAAAGTTAATTTTTAAAAAATAGAAAGGGGATATGGCATCAGAAAGCATTAGAGTGCAAATGTCACTGACGACCTTGTAGGCCATAGTAAGGACTTTGGCATTTTCTACAAAGGAAGAAGCTATGAGAGGCTATGAAGGGAAGAAAAGGTATGATCACATTTGTGTTTTAAATATGCATTGTGACAAAAAGAAAAAAGAGCTTGGAAAAGTATATGTGATGAATAATTAGGAGGCAATTACAATCATGCAGCAGAGATAGAAAAAAAGAAGATTTTTGTATCTGATACTAGAAAAGGCTCCAGTTTCATTCTTTTTCAGGTAGCTATCTATTAGCAGGTAAAATCAACAAGACTTATTAACTATTTGGCAGTAATCAGTGGAGAAAGAAAGGAGTTCAGAATGGTCCTACGCTTCTGGCAGGGTGTGTTGCAGCACTACTAATGGAAATACGGCATGCTGCACAGAGAACGCCTTTATGTGGTTTTCAGAGTGGAGGGAAAACGAGGTGGGCAATGGATAAATAAATTAGGTTGAGCCAAATTCAGTTTGAGGTTATGAGAGTGAAGTAAGATAGTAAAGTACAGATAAAAGTAAACTGTTAAAAGTGCACCTAGAGCCCAAATGAGTGGCAAAAACTAAAGACATAACCCCGGAACCCAGACTGGAACACCATGAAGACAAATAGCAGCATAAAAACGAACATTAACATAAAAGTTTTTCTGAATATGTTCCCAAGTTGTCTTTTAGTTAAAAAAAAAAACACATATATGTAAATACAAAGACACATATATAGTTGCACAAGTAACTGCAACTACAAATATTTTAAGCTGAATGTTTTCCAAGATAGCATAGATCAGAATTTAAAATTTTATAGTACTCTTTCTTTATAATTATTATATATATTTTAATCTGTATCAAAAATTTTTAAAGTTCCCTAGTTAATGAGTTTATTTTTAAAACTGTGTATACTGTATCCTCTTGGAAATTAACAGTAAATATCACACTAAAATATTAAGGCTTCTAAAAGTTCTATAATTAAAATATGATTTAACTTTGTTTAAAATAGTGTTTCCCAAATTTATTTGAATACAGTGCCCATTTTTGAGCAATAGGTTTTTGCAGACATAATGGTCACAAAATATAATCTGAAAAATATTTATCTACACAATTTTCAAAATTATTTTCTGTTTTGCTGCTTATTTCTCCACATGACATCTGGTAGGAATAATGGGGACAACTGTTTTATCTTGGAAACATATTCACTTTTATTATTTAATCCCAAAATATTCCTTTCTGTTAGAAAATTATCCATATAAATCTTCTGATTAATGAATCAGGTACATGTATTTCCTTATTTTAGCATTGTTCTTATCCTGGTAATACTGCATAAATTTTCCAGGATCGCTTCTGGCTCTGAAATTATGTAACCTATGCAAAATATATTCATCATTTTTCATTTAAAAATAATTCCCATTGCCAAAGTCTTTCTACACTATGAACTTATAAATTAGTATGACTCTATTGAAAAGTAAAAATACTGCTATAAAATAAAGATGCTTTGGAATTCACCCAACCCCAATAATATTCTGTAAAGCCGCCATCCAACTAAGGCCCATGAGAAAGACCTTAGCATAAATTGAATTTATATCTAAAAGCTCCAATTAGACCCCTGCTGAAGTCATTATCATTAGGTTTTCGATTGTGCCTAGCCACTAAAATAGTTGTTCTCACTGTATACAATAAATGAGAAGCAAAACTGAATCATAACATTTTCAAACCGGAAGGCACTTTAGAGATTAGCTATTTCAAACTCTGCAGTTTACAGATGAGGAAAAGTAGTTGCAGGGAGGTTAAGTGACTTGTTTAGAAGCAGTTTTCAAAACTAAAATTTGTTATGAGTAGGATATATTATGTGAGTTAAAAGGTTTTGAAATGTTGTGGAATATTTTCTCTAATCAAATACATAACATCAGTTGTAGAACATTTTTTAGAAGTAGTAAAATTATTGAATTTATTCATGATGGCTGAGATTACAATGTTTTTCAGACAATTCTGTATCATTCACTTCTAAGTATTTTCTTTTTCAACATAATTCGTTTATCACTTCAAGTGCATATATCATTAAACCTTTCAGCAATCTTGAATCACCTGTGTTATCAGAAATCTTCCTATTTTATTATAAAGCAAAAGGAGTTATTCACAGAAGATTTGCTGGTTTTGCAGTCAAAACTGACTTCACAAAAAGGAAATGTACAAATAAAATAGGAACTATTTGTTCTATATTTCACCATCTTAGAGGAGGCAGGAATCACCCAAGCCAGCACTGATACAAAGAGGAAACTGAGTCACACGGCACTTGGTGGATATTGGATGAGACAGAGGAAGAGTTTAAGTGAGCAGCATCATCATACAGGTACAGATGGAACTGAGCAAAATTTTCTCAAATGATTTATGAATTTAAAAATTCAAAGTGCTGGGAAAGATGTGAGGAGTCATCCAGACTCAATCTCTTTTATAAAAAGTGAGAAAAATGAGGACCAGCAAGGAAAAGTGACATGGCCTTTGTATTAGCCAGGGACACAGTGATGCTGAAGGCCAGGCCTTCTGGATTCTGTTATATTACTTTGACCTCTCTCTACTGTGGAGACAGAGGACACAGGTATCTGTGGGAAACTGTACATGTGAAGTCAGGGACAGAGTAGCAGGCTGGGGAGCATGCAGGCTGCAATCTGAGAGTGCTGCTGGGGTCTCAGAGTGTCTGATTGGTATGTCTGGTTCTCCATATACTAGATGCTCAGAGACTAGTGACCTATGGTCTTTGGACTCTGTAAATTAAAGTCATTTCTTTTTCTAGTAAAATTCTCATTGTTAGTCGATTTTTGGAGATTATTGAGAGAGAGTCCATAGCACATAAGCTGTGGAGTTACCACCACCACTGCCAGGACCTCTAGCTTTGCTGATAAAGTAGCTGATATTTTGAGCAATGTGATTCTGGAAAATGAGATATGCACTTATGCACTATTATCATCTCTCACAGGATCCCACTCAGCTCCTTCTGCACTCCCCAATCCACGCTTCCATCCAATTTTTTGAAATGGTGCTGCCTTTGAATACAGAACCAGATGAGGACATAAATGTACCAGAAAATCTCTAATATGTCATTGACTTTGTTTAGGCTTAGAAGTTTCTAAGGCCGTTTTCAAAGCCAGGATCATTTGGATTTCCCCTCAGTGATATAGCTATACATGATTAAGATTGCCTTCTCCATTCAGAACTTTTATAACCCATTAGCTATTTATTCTAAACTTCCTTCATAGACCTGTTTGATCATTACTACTGATTGTAAGTCTTTGATCGTATTATTTTGTCTGCCTACTCCACACTTATAAAGGCTAAGACAAACTTAACTTTAATTCTGGGATAGGGTTCCACGATCTGGAATGCATCAGATGCAATGTTTGAAATCAAGGACAGAGCCAGAAAGTCAATGATAACACAAAATGAGCTTTATTCACCATCAAGCTTATGGGAGATAGTGAAGAAATAGATGAAAGGGCCAGGAACAGGTCAAGAAGTGGTGTTTAAACAACATTGATTTGAAGGTGCTAGATAAGGTAAAGTTTGTACATATGTTGATTTAGTAGCCCCACGTATCAGTCTGTTCTCACAGTGCTATGAAGAAATACCTGAGACTGGATAACTCACAAAAGAAAGAGGTTTAATTGACTTAAAGTTCTGCATGGCTGGGGAGGTCTCAGGAAACTTACAATCATGGTGGAAGGAACAGGAAGCATGTCCTTCTTCACATGGAGGCAGCAAGGAGAAATGTGGAGGAAGTGGGGGAAATGCCTCTTATGTAACCATCAACAACACAAGAACACAAGAACAGCATGAGGCTAACCGCCCCCATGATGCAATTACTTCCCTCTGGGTCCCTTCCACAACATGTGGGATTATGGGATTACAATTCAAGATGAGATATGGGTGGGGAAACAAAGGCAAACCATATCACCCTCATATACCAAATGCTTAGCACTCCCATTTCTTTTGTCTTTTCTAATGCTCTCAGAAAAATTGGGATTGTAGAGAAGGCTAAACCAGACCAGTGTACTTTGACCTCTCTGCACCATGGAGACCAGAGGACACAGGCTATTGTACATGTGAAGTCAGGGATAGAGTAGCAGGCCAGCGAGCATCTAGGCTGCAATCTGTGAGTTGCCATCTGCAGCTGTCCCATTTTCCTTTCTCTCTGAGCATTCAGGCTGCTGCTCATTCTTTCTGGGGTGGCCACCATAGGACCTCCTGCATTCTGTAGCCTCTTCAGGTCTTATGCTTCCATCAGTGCTTTTCTTTTTTACTGACATTTTCTTCCTCTTCTTCTCATTGTTCTCTCAAGCCAGTAAGCAAACACCTTCCTTTTCTAGTGTCCAGCCATCAGTGAGCACATCCATAGATCCCAATAGTAGAAGCTGTCCTTGTCCAACTAGTGATTTACAATTTGCCACATGCTCATGGTACCTGGGGACTGAGAAGGGTGGTACCCAATTGTACTCAGCTCACTGCACTGGAAACCACTGCCATTCCCCACTGAAATCTCGTACCTGCCGCCTTCCTTCCCACCATCTATGCCCTGATTCTGAGCCTGGCACCCCCTGTCAGACCCCTAAAATTCTCCTGGTGACCTTTATCTATTAGAAAATCCTTTATCCCATCTTGAATTGTGGCATCAGTCAGGAGATAATTTGTCAAACACCTTTGTCAGTATAATACATCTGAATCTCAAGTACATCTAAGTTCATATTCTTGCATTCTCAGGAAAAATTACTGTCCAGGCTGTTTATACCTGTGCAAGAGGCATCATGGAGATCACTGAGTATTTTGTGTTTTGAGTATTTCACTCACTACTGTATATATGCACTATGACTTCACTGAATGTATTTGTATATTTATATATGTATTGGTTTTTTGTTTTGTTTTGTTTTGTTTTTTAGACAGTCTCACCCTGTCGCCTAGGCTGTGCAGTGATGCGATCTTGGCTCATTGCAACCTCTGCCTCCCAGGTTTAAGCAATTCTCCTGCCTCAGCCTCTCAAGTAGCTGGGATTACAGGCATCTGCCACTACGCCAGGCTAATTTTTGTATTTTTTTGTAGAGATGGGGTTTCACCATATTGGCCAGGCTGGTCTTGAACTCCTTACCTTGTGGTACACCCGCCTCAGCCTCCCAAAGTGCTGACATTACAGGCATGAGCAACTGTGTCCGGCCTATTTATTGCATTTTTATAACTAGACTTACATAGAAAATTCTAACAATATATCTGCCATCCCTTACACAATTCTTTGTACCAAGTAAATGCTTCATTAGAGGACTCTGTCAAAATAATGGACAAAACAAATGATGTGACTAAATCAAAGTGGAAAATAATTTAAATTGTGTTTGCTTATTTTATTTGTATTTACTAGTGGCCATGAACAGAGCTATTCTTGGAATCTATGCCACTACAAGATTGTGGTGCTGCTGTCAAGTCCTATTGAATGGTACCATTTTCCACCTCACTTCTCTGCAGCATTACCTTTTTTTCTCTCTACACTATTGATCAAGAGAATCAATTTTACAATTGAGGAAAACCATCAGACTAAATAGAACTTTGTTCAATTGTTCTTATGCTAAAGTTCACTATCTTTCTGCCCATACTTTCCCAAGCTGAAAGAAGTAATTAAACATTATAGGATAAAAGGTCTTCCCTTTCAGCACCAACTGGCCTGTGGGCTGTATTTAGCGATAACTATAAACAGTAATGACAATAATATTAATAAACTTTAAGTAGAGAAAATGACTCGATAAACAAGAAACCAAGATTAGTTGTATTTAAACTATCATGAGGTTAATCGAGGTTGAGTATCCATGTTTTTAGTTCCCATAAAAATAAATCTGGCTTTGGTTCTCACTTAAAAAAATTCTTCATACAACCAAGGCTATTTCAGAAGTTTCAACTAGCACTAGTAAAAGATCTTTCCTATATAGTTGCATTGCCTTAAGAACTCTGATAAGAAAATCACTGTGATAAAAAGAAAATGGATAAGTATAATTAGTTGGTCTTACAGTCCCACAATCTTTCTAAACAGTGTTGCAGCTTAATTTGTACAGGAGTCAATGACCGTTTGTACTAGCACCATACCATACAGAACATTTTGGATTTCCACCTTAAATTAATAATTTCATTACAATAACAGAATAGAATGGTTCCAAAAGCCAATGGTGCTCCAGCATTCCTCATACTTTTTGCTTCTATATGAAGTAAAAAAGTGTTTCAAATAGAGCGCAAATAGCATAAATTGCAATGAACTAAAATCAGTACTAGAACAGTAATAAAAATGCTACATATATAAGATGAACTATGTTACGTGAGCTGAATAATAACTGACTTTCCTCAACTAGCCAAAACAGATACTTTTAAAACTATAGTGGTTTCCTTTGATTTTATAATTAGTTAGAAATGGTATTTTGAAAGAAAAGAAGCCAATATTTTTCTAAAAGAATGTTTGACTTTGGTATTTCTCCTTCAGAAGTACCTGTGAGAGATGGTTATAAGGTTTTAATTCTATAATTTCTGCAAGTTTACAATAACCTTGCACGTGGCCAAAGGATATTGTTTAAATATACTATATTCAATATTATATTCTCCTCCTTTCCATGGTACTGCATATACAAGAAATACATTTTAAAATTTAAAGTATATCCGTATTGGAAATATTGGGATTTTATGAACACCATTTGTAATTATTGGCAACACACAGAAAAACAACTGAAAATATCGAGTAAAGTCACATATAGATTCATCATATCTATCTGGTCATTTAATTCTTTTATTTAAAGTAGGATTTAAGTAAATACAAACTGTACTTTGGAATTAATGTGAGCACTTAGCAATGCTCGCTAGACTTGGACTTGATATAGATTTGACTTGTTCAGGAGCTATTGTGACCAGGGAATTATGGTGTATAACAGTTTTTTCAATACACTCACATGGAAAAGGTGATTCTTGACATTTACATAATAGATATGTTTGTATATTTTAAGTCATGCCCTAAACCACCTTCTGTAGGCCAAATTCACAATTTTATTCCAGAATTGACTGACAATGATTTAGAGATACCCATGGAGGTTTGAGCAAGGGAAGAAAAGTCAGCCCTCATGAGGTAGCTGTGACACTTTTAGGCTATTAATTGTAGCAGCACCAGCCAAGCCAAAAAACAAACTGCTTTCTGACAATTCTCACTGCAGCATATTCACAGTCTTTTCTCCCCTCCCTTCTCTCTTCAATGCTGAGGGGTCCCATGCAGATTCCTAGGACTCTCAGACACCTATCAGTTCACACATTGTCACCGTCACTGCCAGCACCCCCTTACCCAACTTATTCTCTTTCTTTCCAAATCCTTCCCTCCTCCTCAGTCCTCATTCAATTGCAGGCAGTGAGAACAGCAATAAGAAAAGGCAACTTGCAGTGCTGCTTTAGAAGACAGCTAGAGAGTTTCCCACAGGCAGCCACATACATAAGCCTGGCATATCCCACTCACTTTTCCCTTCACCATGCTCCAGAACATTACAGGCATCTACTTCAAGTGACTTAACAACTGCAAGCCACCCAGAATTCAGATCAAGTCCCCATGGAAAGGATCAGACAGAGACAACGTTCCTATGAGAAAGGGAGGCTCATGGCTTGACTTCTCTTTTTCCCAGGAGATAATGGGCAGGCAATTGCCTCTCCTGCTGCCTGTGAAGGTCTGAACCCACTCACTGGAACACCTGAACCCTAGGAGGCAAAGGCACTGCCAGCAGGGATGATGCTTAAGAAATGGTACTCATTGATAGCTTCCCAAAAGTGAAATATTATACCCATACCATAAAAAAGTCTATTGTATTTTTTTAGACATTTGACTTCTCAAACATATTTTTGTAGAATGTTTTGTATCATGAAGTACAGGCTGGCTGTATCCTACAAAAGATGCAACAAGTTATGAATCTATATGCCCTCCTTAGAATTCTTAAATTGCTTTGTAATTTAAAACATTCTCCCATTTCAGCAGGACTTGCTAAAAAATAAGTGGCAAAAATATATATCTTTATTTATTATCTTGTCCTTTCAGGGCACAGCATTTGAGTAGAGCTTTCATTACAACTTAAATGACATTAAGTTCAACCAATTGATTTAAAATATTTATAATGTGTTGAAAAGTTACCCTTAAGAAGCTTCACAGGACAAACTATGCTTCCTGAGCAAAACTCTGAGCAGTTTTATGACCCTGCCAATACAAATGGGTCAGTTCTTTTGAGGAATCTTCAATAAATGCCAGGATTTCAAGCAGTGGAATCATAATTTCTTTTAATTTTCAGAATAATTGCGCTAAATTTTTTGGAAAACAATGAAACTGTTAAATGTATATGTATTTTTATAATGACTTTCTACCTAGCAATTCATGTTCTTCATATAATTATTGAAGGGGAAATTTTTTAATAGTTTTTTAATTTTATTTGTGGATTTTTAAAACTTATGATAAAAGTGTATACACTTAGCACTTTTGTGTCCCTAGGACAAGTCAGTAAGCAGGAAACATTCAAGATGGGTATATATCTTCCAAGAGAGCAGGCAGAAAGAAGTTGGTGGGATCTATCATGAGGTGTCTGCCCCAAAATGCCTCAGGTAACCCCCTCTTCATTGGAACCATCAATAAATCAAGGAGACATAGAAAATGTGGACATACTGGCCAGGCACGGTGGCTCACACCTGTAATTCCAGCACTTTGGGAGGCTGAGGCAGGCTGATCACTTGAAGTCAGGAGTTCGAGGCCAGCCTCACCAACATGGTGAAACCTCGTCTCTACTAAAAATACAAGAAAAAAAAAATAGCCAGGTGTGGAGGCATGCACCAGTGGTCCTAGCTACTCAAGAGGCTGAGGCAGGAGAATTGCTTGAACCTGGGAGGTGGAGGTTACAGTGAGCCACGATCGCGCCACTGCATTCCAGCCTGGGTGACGGAAAGAGACTTTGTCTCAAAAAACAAAACAAAACAAAAAAAAGAAAATGTGGATATACTTTCACAGGGTATCACAATGGGCAGTGAAGAAAATACAGTCAATCACGCTACTATCTCCTGCTGCTGTTTATTTAAATAATCTGTATTTTTCTGAAAATTGACATTGAAAGCTGTATGAGGAGCCTAAAATGTTCTAATTATATCAACCTCACTGGTTCTGACATACTTCTAAAGAAAGGACATAGTAGTACAACAACAAGAATAATGACCAGCAATTTCATCTAATATTGTGATAGACCTGACAGTTCATTGAGTGATTTCATGAGCAGTACTTTAGTGTTGATACACAGATATGATTAGCATTCCCACTATACAGATAATGATATCAAAGCTCTGAGGCAACACACAGCCTTCTAACATTAATGAGTAACTAAGTGGCAGAGGAGAAAGTCACCCAGGGCTTCTGACTACAAGTCTAAGTTTATTTTTCCTATATCCTATGCTATGGAATCCCCTCAAAATGAACTCAAATAATCAAATCTCCTGTTGGAATTTGCCAATGCATGCATTTTCTACATTATTATCTTATAATTCCCCATGATACAAAATATTTGTTTATAGAAGAAAGAAAGAGAAGTAAAATTTGCTGATCACTCACTACATTGTAGGTGGGACATTTTTATTACTTTCATGTGCATCATAACGGTATATTAAAATTGACTATCTTTCATTAATATATATTTTTCTAAGAAAAAAATGGACATAATTATTATCCCCTTTGCTTCCAAAATTTTTGGCTATATGTTATTTATTTAATTAGGATAATCCCTAATTTATCAGCAATGACTTTATGCCAACTCGAGATTTTTGGTGAAGAAAATCTAACCTACAGATATTTTTTCAAGTATAATGACATTTTTGTGACTAATAAGTTTAATAGCTCATGAAGTTGATATAATGTTATGCTTCATGGACATTTAATAAAACATTTATTCATTTATTATAGATTTTGCTGTTTTAAAAATAGGTTCCAGGGACAATTTCTTTTCCTCATCTCAAACTTTTTCTTTTACAGTCACTGAAAAACCTATAGTCCCCTAGCACTCTGCTCCAGTGCCTGAGAAATAAAGTGGCCTGAGCACAATGCCAAGCACTTTACAGGCCTCATCTCACAAAATTATCTGTCCAGTAAAAAAGGAATGCTGGGCTGCAGATTATAGGTTACAATAGCAACTCCCCACAAAAATCTATAAAGAGGAGGACAATATCCTAGGGAATTCCTATCACACCAGTAATTTCAGTGTTCCTCTATTGGAATAACAGTTCAGTTCAGGGGGGGAAATTGTAAGATACAGGATAAATGCAAAAAAACAGATGAAATCCTTTTCTCCTCTTTAAAAATGTTACTGGAAATCATAGTCAATTATGGATGTTGATACAAAATGTACCATAATATTGGTTTATTAGTTGTGATGAATATATCACACCAATGGAAGATCTTAGGTATACTGGGTGCAGGGTATACCAGAACTCCCTGAACAACCTTTGCAAGCCTTCTGCAAACCTGAAGCTATTCTAGAATAAAATATTTACTTTTATAAATGCAATTAAATATTTAAAATAGAGAGCAAGTCACTAATAATCTTTTCTGTATCCTCTCCCTTTCTTTCCTTTCCCTTCATGGACAATTCCACCATAGAGCCATTAGGTTGGTAGCGCTAACTGCCTATGGAGAGAGCAGCCTTTTAAGGGATGGTGGAATTTTTTTTTAATTTTTTTATTATACTTTAAGTTCTAGCGTACATGTGCACAAGGTGCAGGTTTGTTACATATGTATACATGTGCCATGTTGGTGTGCTGCACCCATTAACTCATTATTTACATTAAGTATATCTCCCAATGCTATCCCTCCCCCATCCCCCCATCCCACAACAGGCCCCACTGTGTGATGTTCCCCTTCTTGTGTCCATGTGTTCTCATTGTTCAGTTCTCACTATGAATGAGAACATGCGGTACTTGGTTTTCTGTCCTTGAGATAGTTTGCTGAGAATGATGGTTTCCAGCTTCATCCATGTCCCTACAAAGGACATGAACTCATCATTTTTTATGGCTGCATAGTATTCCATGGTGTATATGTGCCACATTTTCTTAATCCAGTCTATAATGGTTGGACATTTGGGTTGGTTCCAAGTCTTTGCTATTGTCAATAGTGCCACAATAAACATACCTGTGCATGTGTCTTATAGCAGCATGATTTATAATCCTTTGGGTATATACCCAGTAATGGCATTGCTGGGTCAAATGGTATTTCTAGTTCTAGATCCCTGAGAAATCACCACACTGACTTCCACAATGGTTGAACTAGTTTACAGTCCCACCAACAGCATAAAAGTGTTCCTATTTCTCCACATCCTCTCCAGCACCTGTTGTTTCCTGACTTTTTAATGATCGCCATTCTAACTGGTGTGAGATGGTATCTCATTGTGGTTTTGATTTGCATTTCTCTGATGGCCAGTGATGATGAGCATTTTTTCATGTGTCTGTTGGCTGCATAAATGTCTTCTTTTGAGAAGTGTCTGTTCATATCCTTTGCCCACTTGTTGATGGGGTTGTTTGTTTTTTTCTTGTAAATTTGTTTGAGTTCATCGTAGATTCTGGATATTAGCCTTTTGTCAGATGAGTAGATTGCAAAAATGTTCTCCCATTCTGTAGGTTGCCTGTTCACTCTGATGGTAGTTTCTTTTGCTGTGCAGAAGCTCTTTAGTTTAATTAGATCCCATTTGTCAATTTTGACTTTTGTTGCCATTGCTTTTGGTGTTTTAGACACGAAGTCCCTGCCCATGCCTATATCCTGAATGGTATTGCCTAGGTTTTCTTCTGCAGCTTTTATGGTTTTAGGTCTAAGCAAGGTGAATGAAGCATCCACACAGGAAGAAGGCACAGCAAAGGGGATTTGGAACCCAGTGTAATAGGAAGGGAATCTGCATGTGAGTGCAGCTTGGCATGGGGTAACGGAGTCTGAGCAGGGTGATGAGGACATTCATGCAAGAGGAAAGCTCAATGAGGGGTGTTAAATTTGAAGTTGGGTGCGGAGGATATCCTGCCAAAAGAGGGAGGAATTGCCTGGTGTGAAATATTTAGAGTCGGAGTAGGATAGCAAGAGCATTCAACAGCAAGAGGCCTGGTACGGGGTGACAGAAACCAAGAAGGGTGGAAAGTGTCCACATTTTGAGAAAGAATGACCAAAATGGGATTCTGGAGCTTGACAAAGGTAAAGAGGGCTATGTGAATGGGTGTCCTAGAGTGTGCTGACAGAGCATGAGCAGGTTAAAAATGGTGACCATGCAGTGGGAGAGGAAGGCAGCTTGGCATGGGAAGACAGAGCCCCAAAAGAGCAGGGAGGTACACATATGCAAAAGAGGAAAGCCGAGTGCGGTGTGTGGGAACCTAAGCAGGCTGAGAAAGTGTTATCCAGTGGGTGGAACTACACAGTGAAAGTGTCAGAAAGGTGTCAGAGCCTGAGAAGGTGAAGGAGGACATTGGGAAGGAGGAGCTACCTTGCATGGGATATCAGAGCATGACCAAGTGGGGAAAGGTGCCCACAAGGGGGAAGGAACAGCAACAATGTGAGATTGGTTACATACAAGGGACATTATATATCATAATAATAATATATATAATATATTCTAATAACATACCTAACATATAGTTATATACATATCCTAATAATAACACAGCCTCACACTAATTTTAACTGGTATTCTAATATGGAAAAAACTTGACTTGAAAAACTGTACTGGGTTTCTGGTATTAAACACAATAAATTGTATTCTATGCCTAGCTTTTGTCCAAGTTATATTTTGTTATACTGAGTTTCTACAGAATCATATGGATAGCATAGATAAGAGATTACAATTAAATAATAAAATAACTTTTAAAATGTTATATATAGAGAATATATAAAAATATATATTTTATATATTTTATTATATATAACATTTAGAATATTCTTTTATTGTAATTTATCTATGCCATACATACATATATGTGAGAATATACATAATACATATATGTATGAACACATATATACATATATGTAAGAATATATACACACACACACACATATATGTATATATAAGAATATATATATTATTTTTAAACCAAGAAATTTGCAGGACAAGATTAATCCTCAGAAATAATTCCACTAAAAGCTCAGGATTATAAACAGGGTACTATTCAAAATTTTTCTTATCTGTCTTCAGTTATAAACTTGACATGTTTGTTTGTGTTTTTTCAAGATGAAAGAAAAGTAAGGGGAAACAAAAGTAAAAAATTCAAATCTTTCTGTAGGAAATGAAGGAGAAGGAAGAAACTTTTATTGGATGTCAGAGTTTACATTAGACACTTAATATTATCAAATTTTGCTCTACACAACAACTTTAGGTAGGCATTGGCATCTATTCCCATTTTTTAAATTAGAAAATTGTCTAAGATTTCATTCATAGCTTAATGTTCCAATTATAATAAAATATAGAGGCCAAATTTAAACCCCAAATTGTCTTTACATGAAATCCATGGTCTTTTCAATGAACTAAGTTGCCTCAACTGAGTCTCATCATAATCTATGAGTATATGAGTAGAAAAAGTGCTATTATCATTAAACTTTCTGTGTGTGTGTGTGTGTGTGTGTGTGTGTGTGTGTGTGTGTGTGTTTGAAGGGAGGTAAGAGACAGTGATTGGTTCATATGGTTCTATGACTAGAAAGATTATACATCAAACCTCAGAATGGAAATAAACTTGCTCTGTAACAGAGTCATGTAAGAATTAAAATAACACATTATTCCAAAGAGTCTACATTCTTTCATGCATTATTCAGTCTGGTTAAATAATAGCCAGATGTACACCTTTTTAAAGCTGTTTGATCTTTGGAAACATGTATAAAAGTATATATACTGTTCTTTTACCAGAAATATGAAAAGTCTTATTCACTTGACAAAATGTTTTCCAGATACAGCATTTACTGACATGATAATTAGCCAATATCCAAGAGCAGAATATATAACATATTAGAGCCAGAAAATAAGTACTATAAATATCAATTCTGCATACATTTCTCTCAAATCAGAATTTTCACACTTCCAGAAGTGTCTTATCTCTGTTTCTTCATGAGTACTATTTAGCCTGATGGTGCATTGGCTATGCATGTCAAGAATTCACTACAAAACCTAGTGAGTGCAAATTCACCATTTTTCTTTAGCATTTAAAACTCCAAGCAATTATGCATGGACTGTTGCTAAGGGTCTTAGAGTAGTTAAGTGTATAACAACTATATAACTAATGTAGCATCTTTAATGGATAAAATACCCTGTAGATAAGAAAATATATAAGTTTATGTGGATCTTAAGAATATTTCCAAATTACATTTCAAAAAGGACGGGTATGACTTGAAAAATTGTCCTAAGTTTCTAGTATTTAACACAATAAACTTCTTTCCTATGTCTAGACTTTATCCAAGATACATTTTGTTATGTTGAATTTCAACAGAATAATATGGATCTCATATATTAGTAGCGAGAAAAGAGTTTATATCAAAAACATGAAGAAATTGATGCCATGTAAAAACAACTACAGTAAGAAACCTTAGTCTACATAAGAAAATATAATAACACTTAAAAATATTTAGCAAACCGCACACAGAGAATTAAACATTTTTTTCTTTTCTTTTTTTTTTTTTTTAGATGGAGTCTCGCTCTTTGGCCCAGGCTGGAGTGCTGTGGCGTGATCTCGGCTCACTGCAAGCTCCGCCTCCCAGGTTCGCCATTCTCCTGCCTCAGCCTCCGGAGTAGCTGGGACTACATGCGCCCGCCACCACGCCTGGCTAATTTTTTGTATTTTTAGTAGAGACAGGGTTTCACCGTGTTAACCAGGATGGTCTCGATCTCATGACCTCATGATCCAACCGCCTAAGCATCCCAAAGTGCTGGTATTATAGGCGTGAGAGAATTAAACATGTTTTTAAAACTCTATATAAGATTTATGGGAAACTATTTTTTAATTTTAAAATTAAAATATAATTGACATTACATGTAATTCACCATTTTTTAATTGTGGTAAAAACCACCTAACATAAAATTTACCATTTTAATTATTTTTAAGTTTACAGTTCAATAGTGTGAGGTACATTCACATCTCCAGAACTTTTTTTTTTTTGCAAAATAGAAATGTTATATCCATTAAACAACTCCCCATTTTCCCCTCTCCTTGGTCCCTAGTAACCACCATTCTACTTTCTGTTTCTAGGAATTTGACTAATTTAGATACCTCATATATGTGGACTCAAACAGTATTTGGTTGTGTGTGTGTGTGACTGGCTTATTTCACTTGGCATGTCTTCCAGGTTCATTCGTGTTGTAGTGTGTGACAGGATTTCCTTCCTTTTTAAGGCTGAATAATATTGTGTATATGTATATATACGTACATACACATGTACATATATATACATACACACACCACATTTTTAAATCAATTCATTCATCAGTGTCCAGTTGTGTTGCTTCCACTTCTTAGCTATTGTGAATAGTGCTGGTATAAACATGGGTGGGCAAATATCTCTTGGAGACCCTACTTTTGATTCTTTTGGCTACATACCTAGAAGTGGGATTGTTGACTCATCTGGTAAATCTATTTTTGTGCTTTGAGGAACCTCCATACAGTTTTCCATGGTGGTTGCACCATTTTACAATCCCATCAACAGTGTACAAGCATTCCAATGTTTCCACATTCTTGTCAACAGTTGTTATTTTCTGTTTTTTTGATAGTAGCCATCGTAATGGATGTTAAGTGCACACTAATTTTTCACATGGGTAATGGACACTATATTACCAGAAATATTAAAGACAAAATTAAATGACTTTTGGACTGGATAAAGGTCAATTTCTTTGGAATGGATGAAGGACAATCTTCCTTGGATTCATAGGGATGGATTATTGGCTGGTGCCTAAGTACTCAACTATTATACCATGAAATCTATATTGGCTGTGTTAAGAAAGGTTGTACCACTCCTACATGATTTTAATTACTCTGGTAGAGGCTACTGTAACAAGAAGCGGAGATTTCCAGTGTATATGAGAATTTATCGACAAAAGATATTACATGGTATATGATCATCAAAAAGTTCTCAATTTTTTTTAAAGTTCTGGGGTACATGTGCAGGGTGTGCAGGTTTGTTACAGAGATAAATGTGTACCATGGTGGTTTGCTGCACCTATCAACTCATCACCTAAGTATTAAGCCCAGCATACATTAGCTATTTTCTTCTGATGCTCTCCCTCCCCTGTCTCACAGGCCCTAGTGTGTGTTATTCCCCTTCCTATGTCTATATGTTCTCATTGTTCAGCTCCTACTTATGAATGAGAGCATACGGCATTTGGTTTTCTGTTCCTGTGTTAGTTTGCTGAGGATAATGGCTTCCAATTCCATTTATGCCCCTGTAAATGACATGATTTCATTCTTTTTTATAGCTGCATAGTACTCCAGGTGTATATGTACCACCTTTTCTTTATCCAATCTATCACTGATGGGCATCTGGGTTGATTCCATATCTTTGATATTGTAAATAGTGCTGCAGTAAACATATATGTGCATGTACCTTTATAATAGAATGTTTTATAGTCCTTTGGGTATATACACAGTAATGGGATTGCTAGGTCAAATGGTATTTATGGTTCTTGGCCTTCCACAATAGCTGAACTAATTTACATGCCCGCCAACAGTGTAAAAGTGTTCGTATCTCTCCGCACCATCTGTTGTTCCTTGACTTTTTAATAATTGTCATTCTGACTGGTGTGAAATTGTATCTCATTGTGGTTTTAATTTTCTCTAAAGATCAGTGATGTTGAGCTTTTTTGCTTGTTTATTGGCTGCAAACCAACAGCCATACAGTTGGTATTTCTGACAACCCCAGTGCAACACTTTGATGTAATGGCAGGATCTTTGCTAGGTTTGGTCAGAGAATTAACATAAGAGCACCTCACACCTTAAACTCAACTGTTTCTGATAACAAAACTAGTATCTATTTAGTCTGTTTTTTAATGTTTTTTTTTTTTAATTCTGAGATGGGCATTCTAATTTTGGTGGGTTTCTCAGTTTATCCTATCAAGGTTTTAACTAAGAAGCAACTCCTGGGCATAAACTGGTTCATCTTTCTGTAGGATAACTTGAAAATATTTGTCAAACTCTTACAAAATACATAATCATTTTGCCACATATTTTACATCTGAAATTACTTAAATTGTAAAATGAATTAGCTAAGATTCAAAGATGTTCATAGACTGTTGCTTATTTTAACAAAAAAGTAGGCAATTTAAAATGCTGAAGATTGGAAGGTTATTTAACAAAGTGCATTTGTACATTGGAATTTATGCAGCCATTAAACATAAAGCTATTGCTTTATTGTTTACGCTTTAATACTTTTTTATGCTTTTTTTTTTTTAAATGTGAGACAGGGTCTCGCCCTGCTGCCCAGGCTAGAGTGCAGTGAAGCAATCACAGCTTACTGAAACTTTAATCTCCCTGGACTCAGGTGATCCTTCCACCTCAGCCTCTCGAGTAGCTGGGACTACAGGTGTGCAGCACCACACCTTGATAATTTTTTTTTTTTTTTGGACTTTTGTAGAGATGAGGTTTTGCCATATTGCCCAGGCTGGTCTCGAACTCCTGGGCTCAGGCAATCCACTTGCCTTGGCCTCCTTAAGTGCTGGATTACAGGCATGAGGCCCTGGGCTCAGCTCTTTTTAATGATTTTTATACACTTTTACATTGTCTTTAAATATATTTTAAAGTACTTTTAGTTCTTATTTTTATTTTACTAATAACAGGAATTCATAACATGTTACTAAGTGGTAAAAGCAAGGTAGAAAACCATAATTATAATACAAGGCAGAAAAAAAAAAGCATGACTGTGTGAGTGAGAGTGTGCAACATTATCAGGGATACCTGTTAACTAAAACTCATTATATTTCAAACTAAACACATCTGTACGCAATTGCAATTACAGAGGAGCATCACGGAACATTGGTAGTGGTTAATTTATCTGGGTTACGAGATACAAGTGAATATCATCTTCTTGTTGGCTATGTTTGTTTTCTAAATGTTCTATAAGAAATGTATATTACCTGTGTCATATAAAACAATAAAGGAGTGGAAACTTGGCATGAATACATGAGAGCAATTTCTCAGGTTGGTCCATCGCTACTTGGCCTTTGGTCTCAGAAAGGTCAGGATGGTTACTGATATTGAAGATGGCCACCTTCCACTGCTAAGAGAAGCAACTGTGCTGAAAGACTGGGAACATTTGGGGCAGGAAGCACTCACTCTTAACTAACTATGTGTGTTGACTTCTATCTCCTCACATTCTCATAAGGGAGAAGACAAATCAATACTGTCAATAAAAAGTGTTTCTGTGTCCTTGAGAGAAGCTGTTATGCATAAAAAAATTCATGGGTTTACTTTGGTTTTAAAGCTTAATATAAATTTGTCAAATTAGCAAATTCAAAACCTGACTTACCCTCAAGTTTTTAAAATCAATTTATAAATTATTAGTCTAGCATATTTTAATAGTATAAGAGGATTTCAATTGATCATTGGCCCAATTTTTAAAAATCCTTCCTTTAAAGACAATTCCTTTAAAATTGCCTGGCTGACAAATCAAATAGCTCAGAAGGAAGGTAGATAGGTAGGTAGGTTGGTAGATAGGTAGGTAGGTTGGTAGATTGGTAAGTAAGTAGGTAGGTAGATAGATAGGTAGATAGATAGATAGATAGATAGATAGATAGATAGATAGATAGATAGATAGATGACAAGCAATAATAGATTCTGTATACATACATAAAATCTTAAATGTTTCAATGTTATATAAAACTTGGTAAGATTTCTATTTAAAATTATAGATCTAAATCACTCAGTTATGCATTTTAAGATGGAATTAAAAAGCTAACCTGTTACTTAGTAAGGCAGATTCTTTCACATTAGAAATCCTTAAAATACCAAGTGTGTACACCTCCTCTTAATACAAAAATATGCTGCCAAATTTAGTTATTTTAGATACTTCTACTATAAATTACAAATCCTCCAGAGTTAAAAGAATTTTATCTAAGAAGGAAATGATATCACTACAAACAGTTTTGAGGTTACCTTCTTAGCCAATTGAAGATCTATATTGATCTGGGATTTCAACCCAGTTGCTGACTATTTTGTCAGTGTGACTAAGGGTCACCTTGAGCCCTATGCATAGTCTATAAAAGGGATTTCATAACTTACCAATGGTTGAGTTCTTAACTCTTATAAGCCACATAGCCTTACCTAATTTTTAAGTTAGGTTAACTTTCATCCTGCTATCAGTACCACTTAACTAAATCTGATATGTTGAGTCATTGCTCCATTCCTTTCTGAATTCTTTTTAGATGCTTTTCCAGGAGGACCAAAATTTCATTGTATTTTACATATTTTTCACAGCTTTTAATCACAATGTCTAATGTCTACTGACAAATATTTGTATATCCACATATATTCTTGAGACATAATGCGAGAGTTAGAAGATGGTTAAATCCCAGTACACTGTTCAATTTAGAGGTGAGGAGATCTCACTTCCTTCTTGCTACTCTACCCTCTACCCTAGACAAGATGATAATATAATACTTACTGACAATGCCTAGGAAAGAAGACCTACTTAAAAAAAAATCCAGACTACTTTCCTGGTTTACTTTTTTTTTTTTTTTTTGAGATGATGTCTCACTCTTGTCCCCCAGGCTGGAGTGCAATGGTGCAATCTCGGCTCACTGCAACCTCCGTCTCCTGGGTTCAAGTGATTCTCCTGCCTCAGCCTCCTGAGTAGCTGGGATTACAGGCGCATGCCACCATGCCTGGCTAATTTTTAGTAGAAGGGTTTTCACCATGTTGGCCAGACGGGTCTCAAACTCCTGACCTCAGGTGATCCGCCCGCCTCAGCCTCCTAAAGTTCTGGGATTACAGGCATGAGCCACCGTGCCTGGCCTGGTTTTCTTTTCAGAAGAGATAAAGTGAGTACATATTTGAATGTAAGCCTGATTGCTGGGCCTTCAATGTGGTGTCATTTGAGGTTCACTGCATCAGAGGCACCATGCTGCTCTTCACCCTATGGCTCACACTAACAGCAACCAGACAGTTTACAATTTAGTGAAGGCTTTTCCACTTCAGTTGTAGGAACTTCTTTGACCAGAGAATTTAATAATGAAGAAGAAAAATTACTGCCTTATATTTAGAATACCTTGTTTATACTTTCCTGAGGGCAGAAAGGTAAAATAGACTTGATTATGCACAAGATTTTACTTTAGATACAATTATTTACTGATTCTCAATCCCAAAATCATGTTGCAAATCTATAAAGCTGTCTATAATCTTACAGAAGAGTTACAGCTTGAGACCTTTTGTATTGTATAGCTCTCACCAACATAGGAGTGCTCTAGTTTTATCTATGGCATGAATAAAAAGACACTGGCACCCAGCACCAGGATTATCATCCACTTACTCAGAAAAAAAAATGATTAATTTAAGATAAATAGATGCTGGCTTCAGACACACTGATTGTATTTCCCAGATATTGCTGCAGCAACATTCTCTCCTCTTAGAGGTTATAAAGTATTCAGAGCGATCATTCTTTTCTACTCACGTAACACAAAGCATTCAAGATTTAATCTAGCTCTTCTGTATGGTGTGGTTGAATTTTATTTGACTTTGCCATCACCCTACCCATACAAAATTCTTCCTCTTTAATTTTATTTTTTATAACATAAACTTATTTTTGTTCTTTTTATTGTTCACCTTTATATCTTATTATTAAAAAAATGCTTAACTATTAAATAGTAAAATTATGCCAATTAAAACTAACTTGAAAGTCAAATAGAAAACAGCAATCACAGCCTGAAACTAATGTTTTAAAAGTTTGCAGAGCATGGCTATGCTTTAGTTTTCCCTTAAAATATTTCATTTTCTCTAAAGATTGGCTTTCTGAAATATAGGTTAAAAGTATAAAGTTATCTTCAGTCAAAAAAGATATGGATTTTTCATTTTTTAAGTCACAAAGAAAACAGTTTTTTGAAGGCAGAGAAGATATACACTAGGCCAGAGACCTGCACTTGAATTCCAATATAATAATATGACCGTGAAGAATTTTCCTTTTTTTAAGAGGCATAGGTCTTGGAGAATGACCTTATAAAAAATGTAAAACTAGCCTGGTTCTCAAATAGATCACTGGAGGCAAATTTCTAACAACAATGAGTCACTGAACACAGGTCACACCATTGGCCTTAACCTCTAGAAACTTATTAAATATCACCTCCCTGGACCCTGTGAGCCTGAGATCTAAAATGGGCCTTCAGTTTGCTCAAGAGGCAAAGCTTAAAAGTATGCTTTCTTTCTACTATGATAATGGCTTATTACTGAAAAGTTTTAAGAACTTTTCTAACAACACACACACATACACACACATACACACACACACACACACACCCCTCAAATGAGATAGGCATTAAATGTGGGTCCATGGTAGATAGATGCATTATTTTGAGAAGCAGATGAGAGATTTAACCCATATAACAATGACTAGGCCAGGCTATTTCTCTACCTTATATTAAGGTAGAGTAAATGCCAGATACGAAAGTTAACTTACACTTGCAACTCTGTTAATGATTAAAACAAAGTTACTCTTCCCAGAAAACCAAACCAAAAAAGTGTGGCCTCTCTTAAATCCAAACTATCCTTAATAAAAATTATAATTAGGAGCAAATATAATCACAGCAACTGCAATCTATACTCAAGTTGTATAGCTAAAAGAGTTGACAATTTTAAGGACTGGGTAATCCAAATAATTTTAATATTTGACTCTGAAACTAATTATATGATTTTGAGAACTTTGCCTTTATAGTTATGCTTTTATTCACCTTGTATGATTAATGTTTAGATTTTTCTGAGTATACCACAACTGAACAGTGGGAGGGATATAGCCAATTTAAAATTTAAAAATTTAAATAGAAAATACATAGAAATAATGATTCCTACTAGCTAAATCAATGGGTTAGAAATAAGGTCCTCATAGTTAGATCAGCCACTATCTTACAAAATGTGGCACTTAAAACTTCCTGAGTTAGGAAAAAAAAAAAAAAGCACAAAGCTATTATCTATATTTCAGCACGCAAGGCACACAGAGCCCAGAACAGCTTTGCCTGGGAACTCTTGGAACACGTACCACTATTGAAATGGTTTCCATGAGGCCAACAGTGGCACATATGTAGTTAAGAGGTACTTGTCATTGAGACAAAGAACTATAATGACAGGTGAGACATGGACCAGAGAGGCATTCATGATGATGATGGAGGACAGGTGCCTATACTTCCCATACCACTGCATTCTTACTCTAGACCCCCAGGAATGTGCTGTCCTTAATGAAGCAGGCACCATCAACACTGTGCTCTACTTCATCACCCTTTTATATTTTCACAAAATTGTCTTCACAAAAAAAGTGATCGTACCTTATGTTCACATATATTAAAACAGTGATACATAAGTCTCTCAATTGTCCACAACTGCTAGTGTTAGTAGGTACAGTTTCCAAAGAAATGTGGAGGTACCTTGAGTTAAAATGGACAAAGGGCTTTAAATTTAATAGATGCTGGGAAGGTTTCAGGATAATAAAGGCTTGTTGGATAAATTAAAGGCAATCTGCTTAGGCATCTAGCACATAGCTAATATTTAAAAATATTTTATTATGTTGTTTTTACTATACTGCTACTCTAGTTACATGGAATAAAAACAATATGTTATTTAGACTTGGATTAATATTGCTGTTACTTTAAAAAGAAATACATTTTAAAGTTCTAAATTCTAGCCTAGACCCTCATTGCATATTTGGAATACAATAATGTTTTAGTAGGGCATACCTGACTATAAAATTTCTGTCTTCCCAAAACTAGTCACCATTAAATGTGTAACTCATCATATAACTTTACTGCTTAAAACATTTAATGGTTCTCAATATTAAGTGTCATAAAATTCAGATTCCTACAACTTCTTTCAGAATAGCTCTAACACCACTTTATCCACTGAAACTTTTATAATATATTAAAAAATACTCTAGTGTGAAATATTATCTCCCTGTTTTAGTATTTCATGAGTACACATTTTTCGGCAACTTTACAAGTAAGCAACTTGAAATCAGTAATATCTATCTCTTTTTGCCATGGTTTTCTTAATTGCAAACGGAGTATGTTATGTCAGGGGTACCAAGTTCCCCTCCAGCTCTAAACTTCTACTAGTCAAATTTTCTCCATTCCATGTGACAATTGTTCAAAGCTGAACCAAAAGGAAGCACTAAAATAGATATTAGCTTATCGATAACACATTTTAGCATAATAGGTTATATGGGCCTGAGTAATGAAATTGTGAAGATATTACTCCAATCATAATAAAATTTGTATGTGTAAAGCAACTTTGCTATTACACAAAGATTTTAAGTCATAAAAAAATAAATTCAAATTTGTGTTTATGTCACCTCATCATAATGTGCACTGTGTGTTAGTTAAGTCATAAAGCTTTAGTGTTCTGTCCTGCAAAGAAGCTGAAAAAAAACTGATTAAAAGAAGATAAAAGAAACATAACTGAGAGTTTAGTGTTATATGTAGTCTCCAAATCTCTGTATAGAAGCTGACAATCTTAAGGTATTTTCGAAGCATACCATACAGTATTCCATTTTCAGATTCCACCTTCCTGGCTGGACACAATGATAGAAAAGACAAAAAGAAACCCAGCATGCTAGTTTTTAATAGGTAAAAACCTAGGATTACTATACAACTATTAATCTACTATCTTCCTCCTCTATAGTTTACTATCAGAGTGCTTTCATTCTTCTTACTGACAAATGTGGAGGAGTGGTCGACCCTCTGACCACTTATTCTCCTTTGATCCACTCAATGCTTGCAACCTGGCTTTGCTCAACTATTTTACCAGATCTATTTTTCTTTAAATCCCTAGTAAACGTAATTGCCAATATTAAATGGTCACCCCAGTCCTTAGGCTTTTTTATTTTTGTTTAGAATTTTACCTCAACCACCAACTTTTAAACGTTTCTCCTGCAGTGACCTTCATAAGCCTGTGTTTTCTTAATTCTCTGCCTATTTCTGATTTGTTGTTGCCTCTTTCACTGCCTCTTATTTGCCTACTCCCTAAAACTGGATGTTCCATAATGTGCTCCTCCACCTTCTTCTTTCCTTTCACTATCTCATGACTTCATTGTTTCCCATGGTTTCAGTTCTACCCTCAATGCAGACAACTACCAAATTTTCATCATAAGTCCAGACTTCCTCAGATCTTCAGATTCACAGTTACATATATACCTGGATATTTCCATGGCCACTCCACTTCAAGATAATCTACACAAACTATTTTTCTTCCCAAATCTGGGCATCCTCCTGTATCTTCCATCTTTATTTAAAGAAAAAATGTTAGTCCTCCCAGTAACTGATATTCAAACCTTCAGTGTCATCTCTAAATCCTTGCATTCCTAACCTCCCATATCCAGTGAATCAGGTCTTGTCTACCTTGGTGATGGCTTGCACATTTTCAGTCTTAGCAACTGCTTTAGTTCAGACTGTATCCAACTGGTGCAAATTCTTTAAAGACTCACCTTTTACTCAGTAGTATGCAAGGTGTCTGGACTAAAATTCCTGGACTGTTTCTTAGTAATTTCCCTATCTTATACCCTTATATTTTCCTATCTTGACTCCTAGTTGGTAGGTACAGATTTCCCAGAGTGAAGCTTCTCTTTGTTCAATTTGGTTCATGATCCATCATTCTACAAGTTCTACTCAATAGCAGGCTCTCAGGCTAGACTATCCTAGACTTACAAACAAAGCAACACATGTATCATCATTCACCAAACCATTGCAATAGCCTTATTTTTTAACGTTTTTTTTTCTGAACATAATAACATAGACACACTTGAAAAAATTGGAAAATACAAAACAAATATCCGTCCGAAATTCTACCAGTTAAAACATGGCTAGATTTCTCTCTATTCTTGTTTCTGTGACTTTTTAAAAATAAGGTTGGGAATCCAATTTAAACTTAAAATGTTTTTCAAAAAAACATTTTAAAATTATGCACAGTTGCAGACTGGAAAACTTAAGGGGGTGCCTTATAGTATCAATGTTAGGAGTTTTATTTAGTGCATTTAACGTAACTGGCAATTGCAAAATCCACTTTGCCTGCATATGTGAAAAATATAGACGGTTATCTTGTTTGCTCTATGAAATTCTGCACTTGATATTCAGTATATACTCCACCTTCATTAATTTCTTCTGCCACAATGTTCTGCCTTAGCACTCAGTTGCATTCTTTCCCTTTTTTTTTTTCCTGTTCATTATGGTTTAAATCTGAGAACCACATGAGGGTAGAATATATTATCTTTAAAAAAATTACGAAAAATTATATAGGCAAATTATTTTCTTAAATTTGATGGACAAATGTCAAAATGTTATTTTTCATATCATTTATAATCTTGTCCCAATCCACTTAACAAAGTTCGGTTAGATCTCAGAGAAAATTACATTCCAGAGTAGTTTTTTTTCTTTTCCCTGAGATAGGGGGAAACTTTACTACAATTAGTAAGTGTGGTACAGAATTTCATGCAAATGAGGTGTGCCAGCAGTGTGACAATTTTAACGTATTTTAACAAAAACAAAAATGAATGCATAAACTTGCTGCTGCTTAGACCACTGTAGCTTCTAGGACCCAGTTTCTTTTACTGATTTAAAAACAAAACAGAAAAAAGTTGTGCCTGAAGAAAGATATTACTAGTTCACTTTCGCACTGTTATAAAGATACTACCTGAGACTGGGCAATTTATAAACAAAAGATGTTTAATTGACTCACAGTTTCGCATGATTGAGGAGGTCTCAGGAAACTTGCAGTCATGGCAGAAGGTGAAGCAGAACAAGGAGCTTCTTCACTTGAGGCGGGAGGGAGCGAGCACAGGAGATACCGCCATTTTTAAAGCCATCAGATTTCCTGAGAATTCCCTCGCTATCACCAGAGCAGCATGAGGGAAACTGCCCCAAGATCCAATCACCTCCCACCAGATCCCTCCCTCAACACATGGAGATTACAATTCGAAATGAGATTTGGGTGGGGCCACACAGCCAAACCATATCAGATCCAAATTTTATTTTTAAATATCTATAATTTTTCATATTATGCTATTCGTTTCAGTGAATAACTATTTTTCCTCCCTTGAAATATTCTTCAAAATTAATTTCAAGGGCATCATAGTAGTTGTTCATTAATACATATATTCATTTTTTCAAAGTTCTTTTTTTCTATAAAAACTGTCTTTATATTTCAAATGTTTGTCAGTAATTTTGTTTCTTTTTTAAAATTTTTTCTTCACTTAGCTTCAACGTGAAACTCATAATTTTATTTACTTACCATGGGATCTAGAAGAGGCATTACTTAGTCAAAGAGTAGATTTTTAAGCTTATGATTTACATTTGCAAATTGGTTTTCAGCAAAGTTGAAACAATTTACTGTTAAGCTGGCAGAAGATAAGAGGGATCACTTGCCAACTGCAGAGTTCTTAAAAGGGCTCTGGGTGCCTCTAGTATTTCCCATCTCCAATTCCTCTGCACTTCAGGGCAACTTCCTAAACAGTTATAATTACAGGCACTCAGGAAATTCTCATGATTCTCTATTATCCACGGAGTAAAATTCAAACTTCTGAGCGTGGCATAGAAGTCCTCCACAAACTGCTTCCAAGTTACTTTTTTTTTTTTTCCCCTCTCCTCCCACCACTCACCTTCTAGCAGTTCTGCTCCAGGCTACATTTAAAATCACCTGGAGAGGTTTTAACAAACTACACACCAGGGTTCCATTCCTGGTGGAATTCCTAATTAAGTAAGACTGGGAACTGGCTTTTGGGGTGCTGGGTGGGCGCACTAGAATCTTGCAAATCACCACTAAAGAACTTACTCATGTAACCAAATACCACCTGTTCCCCAAAAACCTATGGAAATAAAATAAAATAAAATAAAAAATTCTCCACTAGATTATTCTAATAGACAGTCAGGGTTTGAATCACTGTGAGTTAGCCTCTTCTTTCTTAAAGTGAGGTATGTAGAGAGACTGGGAGATTACTTGTCAAAAATGCAAATTCTTGGGTCTCACTTTAAGCCTACTAACTTAGACATTTTTGGCCTAGAGACCAGGAATCTTCAGTTTAACAAATTTGCAGATTCTGTGGTTTGAGGACTAGTGCTTTAGCCAGAACAGATTGTTTCCATTTTCTTAATGGTGTGCCACACTTCCTATCTTTAACATATGCCCTCTGCTGTTTATGCTTTAAGCACACACACACACACACACACACACACACACACACACACACAAATCATATCTATTTTTTAATTCCCAGCTTAAATGCTCATTCTTCCAGCCAAATTTAAATGTTTCCAAATTTTGTGCTTTCATTGTTCATTGTTTATATCTTAGCACTCTTGTATACGCCCATCCAGCCCTGTACTAAACATAGTCATGGGGATCTTAAGATCTACTAACAGAATTAAATTTTTCATGTGCAGATAAAATATCTGATTCACAAGAATATTTCCATAGAGCCTGGCACATTTTTCTACAAATAGTAAATAGATGAAAACTATGTGAAATGTTGTAATCAATTAACTAAATGTTCCTAGCCTGCGCTCTCCTTGATAAGTAATTACCAAACACTGTTCCGTAATACTATTGGTGAAGAGAGTCAATGCCAGAGAAAGTAATGTAGTTTGTTTTTTTTTCTTGGAGGGGGAATGTCTTTTTCAATAAATGTTCAAATACCTAGTGATTTGATAACTAAGCTCACTCAGATTTGCTATGCTAAATCAAATATATTTTTTGTCTACTCAATAGCTTATTATATGTGCTCTTAGTGAAAGGCTGTACCCAAGTTGTAAGCCATTTATTTAGATGATTAGTTCTCTTTGGCTGATCATTTTGATATAAGACATAAAGTGAAAGGAAATGATTTAGAGTGTTTTGTTTCGCTAGGACCTGAGCACAGGTGAGAGTTTAAAGCCTGGTATTCCAGATGGAAATCAAGTTTAGTAAGTGCACAACCTCACATTTTAAAGGAATGTATGTGAGACCAATTCATGAGGCTGTCCTTCAATCCTGTTTCTCTGAAGGCCACGCTCAAATGAGAACTCTTTCACTAACGTTTCTAAGAAAACTCCAGAGTTACCCTTTCTAAATTGGTGTTTCTAAAGCACTAAACATCATTTGCATGATATTTATTGTTTTTCCCTGCTCTGTCTCAAGAACATCTCAGATTCATGTACATTTCATCACCTGTACCTGACTCTAAGCTCCTGAAATCTGGACTCTAAGCTCCAGACTTACATTTCTTATAGTGCCTAATGATATCACCTGGCACACCAAAGGCGTCAATAAATCTGAGACAAATGAGTAGATAATAACAGTAGATAAATGTTGCTGAAACCTAGGTATAATGTAGAAGTTTTTCTTTAAATTTACTTTATCCAAACCATAAGGTATCCTTTGGTTCCAGAGGAATCATCTCATAGACAGGGGGAAGAATGACACTATGGTCATGGATAGAAATAGGAGATAATTTACCTCCTCTTTACCCAGGTAGACAGAATATGGAGGCTGCTGAGAGAAGATTTTAATTGTGTGCAAAATACTTAACTACTCTAAATTTTGGTTTCCTCCCATATAAACTGTAGAAAAGATTCTATCTATCATATAGGGTTACTGTTAAAAGTAGCTTAGTTACTGTATGTAAAAGTATCTAGTGCATGGCACATGGTAAATAATAAATGGTATTTAATTGTTTTAATCCTTTCTGTCTGGCTTACAAAAACAAAAAGGACATGATAAATTTGTTATTCAGGAGCATTTGGTTCTGAAAAAGGAAACCAGGGCATAAGTATATCAGTAATAGTAAGGTGTACTCTTTGACACGAGTTACAAGTATATGCTATGTATTAACATCAGATAAGTTGAATTAAAAAGGTAGATAAGTAGAATAATTGAAAGAAGACTTGGCATCCTAAGCTTCTATTAAGGTTCTGTGACTTATCAGTTGTTTGAACTTGAACTTGGATAGCTATTCTAAACAGATCACTCTGGGTAGAATAACACAAATGCTTCTTTATCCAGATACGTAGACAGACAGATAGAAGAGTTCTCTTGAGTCACCATCTGAAGGTAAATAACTTGCCCTTAATAGATGGCACATAAGGATTGTGGCACCTGGGCACTTAAAGCTGAATGTCCATTGAGCAGAGAGTGTACAATTCTAATTACACAAGACAATGAATCAAAAACTGTCTGAATTGCATGTTGCTTCTATTTCTATCTAGTCAGAACTTACTCTTGACAGTTCAGAGTGTGATTGATGAATGATAAGAAAACAAGTTGCCTTTAAACCTTTCAGATAGCCATGTGACAATGAAGCTAAAATTTTTAGGAAGCAACCCAATAGCAAAAAAATAATTTGAAAATGGAAAATTACATTGGGAAAATGGAATAAAGATGTCAAACCATCCATGGAGATTAAAAACTATTGCTTCTGAATGTATTAGTTTGAACCATGCAACATTGTCTCTACTTGCCTTTTTTGACTTACAGAAATGATAGTTCATATGTTTTTCAAGATAACAACAATTAGGCTTTGTTAAGATATTATCACTCTTTTGAAGAAAGGAGAGCTTAGTTGATTTTCTATAGAGTTTATATGTTTATCATGATGAAATATCATTCTTCTATTAGGTTTATATTGGAGGAATCTAGATATATGAAATAAAAGGAAAACAAAAAGCACACATGGTGAGAAAAGATGACCACTAAGCTTCTTTTGATAGGAGTAAAAGGTAGAAAGACACATGTGATTATCAGAGAGATATTGTGTTGGAAGTATTGATCAGAGTGGGGAGCTATGATTTAGAAGAAGGGGGAAGCCATCAAGGTTCTGATACCCATGGAAATAGAACTCTTAAAAAAGAGATTTGGAAAAAGCAGTGCACAAAAACTAGACCTGGAGGAGAATGAGCAAAGCCAGAAGATAAAACAAGCAGAACTATGAAATAGTTTTTATTATTTATTCTGAGATTCAGGGAATCCAAGAAGATAGTGGGAAACTGACAAGGTGAGTTAACAATCTTGTTCAAAACTTGATAGTACATCACTCTCATTTGCTGTGGCAATTCTTTATATTTTGAGAACATAATTATAATAAAAATATGTAAATGAAGTCAACAGAAAGTTGAGGTGGAACAGTACATCCTGGGGTTAGCCTTATCTTGAGGGATAGTTCTCAGCCATGTTAGGGAAGAAATTGGGCTGTCAGTAAGGAACAGTTTCATGAAGAGGAAGAATCTCACCTGTGTATAAAAGACTAGTTTGAGTTTGTGCACTGAAAAGGGGCTCCTGGGTAGCAGTACCTCATAAATTCTCCTACTGACTTTGATCAGTAGCTGTGTTAGGTAACAAATCACACCATTGCCTGTCCCCATGTTCTCTCTGGTTTAATCCATGACTGGAAATTGGAAATAAATACCAGAAGTCACTCTGGATGTGGTGAAGGCAGAGGCTTTGCCTCCCAGCATTCTATGGAGGGAAAGAAAGCAGGGAGGACTTTGTAAAATGAGAATCTTTTTAACTTTATAAAGTAGATGTATCAAAGGGCTTATGGTTTCACACTCTTAGCTGAATTTGTGGGGTGGAGAAATCTAGAAATACTGTGGGTAGAGACCCTTATTATAATCCAAATAAAGAAGTAGGACTATGAAAGAGGTAGTGTAAATCAAGAACCCTTAAGGCATATTAAAGTGAGTAAAAAGACTTAGTAAAAAGAATAGAGTTGGAGTATATAACTTGGATGAAACATGAACAAATAATACCAAGGATTTTGGCCTGGGAACTGAGAGGAAAAAACATGTTAATTTAGACACAAGTGGGGTATTTGTAAAGGGAAACATGTTTAATAAGGAAAATAATTGTTTAAATGTTTTCATTTTAAATTTGAAAAGACAGAGTTACATCCAAGGAGAGAAGAGTTGTGAATAAGTGACTGGAGATAATAATTTGAGAATTTTCTGTGCAAAAATAATCTAGAATGGGAGCTCAGTTTTTTCTTCTTTCTCAACCCCAATTAACTAGTTGTGTCTACCTTGAGACTCAGATTGAAAAATATTTTTAGTCCACAGGTAAGCTCAGAAGGAAAGCCCCATGATCAATTTCCAATTTCAAACGTGCAATCTAGTGGCAAGAGTGGCTTTAAGGACCACTTACCTGCCCTCACAAAAGAGACATATAGATGGTGCTGAGCTAACTGGGCAAAGAAGTAGAGCGAGAGATCCAACCACATCATGAGCGCAGAGCCTAAGTATTTTCCAGAGTTGGATGTGAGAAGGTATTGCCGGGCAAGGCCTCATACAGAGATTTAGAAAGAAATCCAAGAAAGTGCAGTATCATAGAAACCAGGAGAGGAGAGAAGGCCATAATGAAGGCTCTGGTCAACATGGACACTTTCTTCCAACAAAGCTGTAAGAAGAATGAGAGTGAGATAATAACTAGACTGGGCAATGACATGGTTTGGCACCATGGTTTACATCTTCGGAAAGATTGTATTGCTTCAGGGAGTGATAAAGTGAATCACAATGAGGAAGAATAGTCCATTTTTATGTATTACACAATTAATTAATTATTAAGTCACCTCTCTGCCTTCATTTACTTGGATAATTTATCATTGTATTATCATTAAAATTAGATCATTAGTTTGGATAATACAGAACTCAGGGAAAAAATTATTCTTAGGTTTCATTGTTAAAAATTGAATAAACGTTTTTTAAACTTGTTTTAAAATTACTGTTTAGAACTCATGTGGATGCAATTTTAAGAGATGCATCTCTTAAGACACAATTTTAAGAGGTGCATCTCTTAAAATCACATTAAGTTAAGTAAGCCAAATCTTACTATAGAACTTTCTCATCATATATTCACCATTAGATAGATTCAGATATGTGTTCCTGAAGTCTTTAGTTAGTGTCTAAGTAGAACAGAGGAGTTCTACAACCATACTTTTTATTTATCAAACGGAAAAAAAGAAAGGAAAAAGATGTCCAGATTCTCACCATCTGTCTGACTTACAAATGCACCTGACTAAAAATAAACCATTCAGGAATAAGCCATTCACACTTCCTCTGCAGTGACTTTGAAGTGTTTGTCGAGATACCCGTATTAAGAAACTTGGCGCTCTGGTCCTTTAATGGTGCTGACATTCTGACTCACGTATGCCCGAGGGAAGGCAGAACACAGGACAGCTGAGAACACCAGAGGACTGGCAGTTGGGAGCCTGATGGAGGACAAGTAGGGCCTCGAGGACAGGTGCGTGACAGAAGCACAGGAAAAAAAAGAAAAATGGTAAGTTGACCTGGAAAAAAAAATTGAGGAGATTTGTAAGCAGAGTAAGTTAAAGTAGCAGAATACTTTCATGTAGCCCTTACAACAACAAAAACAACAAGAAAACAAATAAAGGGGGGAGAAATGAATCATTTCTGAGATTCGTCGATAGGAGAAAAAACAAAGAACCAAAACTTTTCCCTTGAAATGTTTACTGTTATTATTCAAGGAACATTATTAACTATTAGTGACATGACTAAAGGTTACATAAGCTAATTAGGACTTAAAAAGCCTTGGATTTTTTTTTAAAAGTTATAGATCAGTTAGATTTGTAAAAGAAACTGGAAGAATTACCATAAAATACCATTTTTAAAAAATTTGGCTTATAAAGGACAATCTGTAATCACCATTACATGACATTTACAAAGTTTTTTCCTAGGATATTATTTAACTCTTTCGTTGTAAACTTTTAAAAAAGTCTATAGTTTGAGTATTGTTTTAACATTGTCTTTCATTTCAAATACATTGTTTCCTGATAAAACTGGCAAAAGATTGGGATTTTACTATTTAGTAACATTTGACAAACCGTGATTTACTCTTTTTTTTTTTGTCAGAAGAAATAAAAACACGAGTTCATCAGTAAAGAGGTACCCTGGCAGCATAAATATTATGATAAGCTAAAAGCTGGAATCATCTGGAAAAATAAATAAGACTCCTCATGTCCTTTTCGGTCCATAACCAGAAGGGCAGCAAAAGGCCTTTGCCACTGGAACCTCTTCTTTTTCTCCAAGTCCCACGTAGCAATTACCTGCACTTTCAAGAAGAGAAACAACGACTACACCTAAAGAAATTCCTTCTTGATAGGATGTTTCTAGTGGCCAAGATACAAGCAAATGTAGAAAGAAAAGATGTTGCTGACTACTATGAACAAATGTTTCAGTCAGTTTTGAAACATCACCTAGGAGAAGCAGTGACAGGATTGCTGCTCATCTATCCCACTTCCATTCTGCATATCCTCGAGTCCTCCAGCGACACTCTCTACAAAGTTCTTTTAGATTATATTGGCCATGTCAAAGATGAAACAGTATTTTTTATTCAACAAATGAAAATTATAGTCATTTCTCATAACATTCCAATGAGGCTTTTTATGCAATGGCATGTTTCAGTGATAAAAGTTCCAGTTATGTATCTCGACGATGTGACACAGTCACAGTCCCTAAAGGAGGTCATCACAGATTTTCTCACACAAACTCATAAACTGTCACTCTACCTTTGCCAGACTATGAAAGTAGGCACTAAAGGACCAGGCGATAACTTACACCAAGTTGCACCTGACCTACTCCTCCCAGAACAAATCATAAAGTACTTGTGCAAATCCGAAGAATTCATGGACCCGGCAACATTTATAAACATGTATAATAGACCCATACACATCACTCTGGATTCTGAGGTGGTATGGCCTGCTCCTTCACGTTTCTAGGATTGAGAGGGATAATGTGCCCATGTCTCTTAAGGAGTTTGTGCTACTTAAATAAAAAAAACATTTTTAAAGTTACTGGTGTCTTTTAAAAGAAACAGAACATTGCAATATACACAGAGGTAATATATTAATCTTTATAGAGTATGTTGAGCTAAACTTTAAAATGTATCTATTTGTTGTGGTATTAAGTTCAATACATTATTTTACTAGGTAGATGGGTTTAATAAGTTTATCATAAGCTCTCAAATATTAACATCATTTTCATGAATTGACACTTTTCAAAAAAAAGTATGGCTGAAAAAAGACAAACGGAATTCAGATTATCATCCAATCCCTCAAGAGTTAATAAACAGTCACTACTACATAGCAGAAGTATAGTGTTCTGAGGGTACAAAATCGAGAAGAAAAATCCCACCCTTGAGTTGCTTGCAACCTCAGGTTAGAGGCAAGTACATGTAGAAGTAGTTACGATATGACATATAATGTAATATAATATATCATTATAGTAGCAGTATATAGGAAGGGCTTTGAGAGCACAAGTAAAGGAATAATCACTGTATAATTCCTGCATTCAGAAAACAAAATCTAATTATTGAAAATATTTCCAAAGCCCACATATTCTGGCCTATATAATCAAGAATATTGAGACCATTATAAAGCTACAGAAAACAATAGCTATTCGGAATGAAATGAAAATACATTATCAGGTGGCATTGTGCTACTCCATGCAACATCATTTATTGAACATCCCTCTATGTTACAAACATTTGCCAGGCACTGAGGAATATGGCAGGGTACACAGAAAACATTATCTGCCCACTATTAACACTTACTTCTAAATGATTTTATGTAAAATAAACAATCTGGTTATTTTCTCAATTCACTTTCTAGAAAGCAACTAATTATATATAATTTCTATGTGACCAATTTCAAGTTGATCCCTTCTTTTATCCAGATGAATATTTTTTGCATTGTTTAAAAGTTTTTAGCTTGTTTAAACAATTAATTGACATCAATATTTTGAAAACTGCAATGATATTTGTCCCAAATCACCTTAACATCTTACGAAACCAACTTTGGAGTTAATGGAGAAAATACTTATCATTATAGTTTTATTTTTTATTATTTTTTTTTCATTTTTAGCTTCTTTGAGGACAAACCAATCTCAGTGTGCACCTCAATTTTTCATTTGAAGAAAATTTTGTTCTGCATATGAAAATACTGACCAAATTGTATGTAACAAACAAAATGTATATAATAAACAAAAATGATATGCATCATTGTTACATAACAGAATCAAATTTTAGGGAAGACCATTCTATTTTCCAAATTTTGTAATACTTCATTAATTAGAATGGTATTTTTCAGTTTTAACTGAAGTTTCTTTCAAGTTAGTAACAGAAAAAAATGTTTAAGATAAAATGAGAATTCTTCTAGCTAAGAAAGAGTATATAACTTTCAAAATTTATATCAATTTAGAAAAAAACACCTAATATTAAACAGCATTATGCTGTCTATTCTTTGAACTGTGAAAAAGACACAGGGGCATGTCAATAGTAAATGATTAGTGATAAACTGACTGGAAACGTAAGTAAATATTTTCCCAGCAAAAAAGGAATAGAGAAAACGTTCAACAAAGATACAATCCTTGGTCCAGGATTAGCATGAATGTGAAAGTGGTTTGGGAGAGAAGACGAGCATATGTAAGAGAATAATGGATAATAAATGTTTATTGGATCAGATAGAATTCCTTTAGCAGGGTGAATTTTGTTTGGGAATATTATTTTCTAAAGTTATCTAGTGAATAGAAGTTTGAATTTTGGATAAAAATTATATATTTATAAATCAGAAAATATGGCATATTGTATTTTCCAGAAATGGTTACTGCAATATATCCAATCCCACATGCCTTTCTTACAACATGAGCTTGATATTCCTCCCATTGTGTAGTGGCTTCTAACTCTCTCCCCTTGAATGCAGGCAGACCTCTTCTGTGACTGCCTTAACCGATAAAATACAAAAGAAGTTATTCCGTGTGATCTCGAAGGCTAGGTCATAAAAATGTGCACTTTGCCTTGCTCACTTGAATGCTAGCTCCTGGAATTCAAACACTATGCTGTGAGCAATCCAGCAATTTCAGACAACATCCCCAGCTAAGGTCGCAGCCAACAGCCCCTATCATCCACTAGACATGTGAGTGAGTGAGACTTCAGGTGACCCCAGACCCCAGGCTTCCAGTAAACCTGGGAAGCCAGCTCAGTTGACATTGTGTGGAGAAGAAATGAGCTGTTTCCACTGAGTCCTGCCCAAATCAGAGTTCTGTGAACATTAGTGATTATTGTTTATTTAACCACTAAGGTTTGGGTGAATGATTACGCAGCACTGTGGAAAAATAATACATATGTAATGGGAAAAATAATATATACGTGTATAAGCTCTTTGTATCACTTATTATTCATTAATTTATGTACCAAAATTTATTGGATAGCTACTGGTAAAAATGTACTAGTAGGCCAATCACTGTGCTAGTCACTGGGTGTACAAGTAGCAATAGGGGGTATATTCAACACACTGCCTGGCATAGATTTTTTATGGGTCTATAATACTTTTTGGTGTGAGAATACCAATAGAAACCTAATTCACTAAGCCAAAAAGAGAATTATTAACAATCTTAATCATTTTTGGAAGAAGTTATAGAATATCTCTCAACGATAAAATTGCTGATTTACTTAGCATATCGTAATTTTAAAGAATTCATGAAGGCTCACTATGAAAATAACTGGAAAATAAACACAGTGTGACTATAAACAATTTCATTTATATAGTTATTTGTTCATTTTTGTGAACACATCAGAATGAATGTATTCAAATAAATTTACCCCGTATAGGAGTCACTTCAGGAAGATTTATATTTGTCCAGGTAGCAACACCATTGCTGAAAACATTTTGGGACCCTTTGGCAGTTGAATAAAGGAGGTTTATAAATCAAAGGGAGCTTAAATATTTTAATTATATCTAATTTTTGATCTCCAAATTATTGTTATACTCCAACTTAATTAGTAACTTTAAGATTTGATCTCCATTGATAGAATTTTTTTAATTTATACTCACTCTCAAAGACAGATCTGCTGTCACTGAACATATTAAAAAGAGCGTGACAATGCTTCTAAGGGGAAGTACAAATTGTCTTCAGTAACAAATGAGTTATTGAGATACTTATATAGGTCACTGATATAATGTCTTTAAATTGGACTCATTTAGCTGTGTATGTTTGGGTACATTTGATAAAATCCAGAAATCTTACATTTATACCTTACAAATTTAGCTTAATGAAATCCAAAATGTAAACTTTTAAGCCTTAGTATGACTGATAAGGTAATTCTTAACTCAATGAAAGTTATAATAGAATGCAGATACATGCACGCGTATGTTCATTGCAGCCCTATTCACAATAGCAAAGACATGGAATCAACTCAAATGCCCATCAGTGATAGACTGGATAAAGAAAATGTGATATATGTATATGTGATATGTGATATGGAATACTATGAATATATACTATACAGAAAAAGGAACAAGATCATGTCCTTTGCAGGGACATGGATGGAGAAGGGAGGGCATTATCCTTAGCAGACTAATGCAGGAACAGAAAACCAAATACCTCATGTTCTCACTTATAAATGGGAGCTGAACATTGAGAACACATAGACACAAGGAGGGAAACAACACCCACTAGGGCCTGTCAGGGGTGCAAGGGGAGGGAGAGCATCAGGGTAAATAGCTAATGCACGTGGGGCTTGATACCTAAGGGATGGGAAGACAGGTGCAGCAAACCACCATGGCATACATTTACCTACGTAAAAAATCTGCACGTCCTGCACTTGTACCTGGAACTTCAAATAAAATATTTTAAAAATAAAGAAAGCTATAGTTGCCTTAAAATAAAATTTTAAATAAGAGTACATAACTTAACCCACAGAAAAATGAATATTTAACAGTGTGAACATATAATATTTAATATTCATATAACAGCGAACATATATATAAAGCCAATGATCACATAACATTCAAATGATGTGGCCAGCACCATTCTAATTCTTTTCTTTTTATATGAATACTTGAGTACAGACTGCCCCGTTGATAATCCTATGCTTGTTTCAGAGTTGACATTCAAGAAGGTAATAGATTTCTTGCAGAATAACTTAAATAATATTACTTGAAAGGAAAAACTCTTCCAGGGTGAATTCTAACATTCTACTATCATAAATTTAATAAAAAAGGCATCTGGATCCCTTCATGGAGCATTATTGCTTAATACAAATAGAATTTGACATCCAGTGACTGTATCATAACTCTACAAACACAAAACCACATTTCAATTAAGTTAAACCTATCGTTAGCAGTAGAATGCCCCAACTTCCACAAGGAAGTGGAAATGAAGCAGCCTATCACCAACCTCACATAGCCAAGTACTTTCAAATCATTTCATATTGTATTAAATAATTTAATGCAGAATTAAAGTTCTCCCCCTTGTGGTCAGTTACTTAAATTTCCTGATTACCTGTGGACAGGATGTATGTAGTAAAAACAGTGCATAGATTTTAAGAGCATACAGAGAGAACCCAAAAAGTACCTTTCAAATATCTGTTTGACTCCTCTTATTCCACAGATAAAGATTCTGAGACCTAAAGACATTAAGGTGTTTTGCCAATGGTAAAAGGAAATGTAACAGTATACTGGTATAACAGTGTAACAACAGTAACAATAAAAGCAAGATAACAGTATTCTCCCATTTAGGGTCTTGTGATTATTAACTTCACCACATTAATTATGCAGACCTTTATTCCTCTACAAGTAAGTAACTTTAAGCAAATTATGCCTGTCTACTCACTTTTTCTCATTAGTTTAGAACTTTTTATTGGTATGGACAGTTTATAATATCTGAGAAAAATTTTATATTAGCTGGCCTCATGTTGAGTTGCTATACAAAAAAACTAGTTCTTATTACCATTTCTGTGTTTTCTTATATTTTTGAAAGACCAACTTTGATACATTTTATTTTGGTTATTTGTTTAGTTGTTAATTTCTAACAATGGTTGGACTTTGGATTTATTAAAATACTTTTGCTAGTATGTTTCTATATAGGCAGAAATGTAAAAGAGATTTTCCATACAATTTAGACCAAATATATTTTATTTAAGCATAAGTAGATATAAATTTCAAATGAAAAAGAAACCATTTTTAACTGAATGTGAATATTTATAGAATTAGTTCACCTGTAATTTCAGTTGAAAAGATTACCATTTATCCTTAAAGAGGATATGAAGAGAATAATAGTGTTGTCAAGGCATTCTTCTCTTTCCCTGATCACTCTAGTTGCACACTTCTCTAATTCATTCTAATTAATGCCATGACCTCAACTCCCATCTAAGAGATAATGACTTCAAATACATGTTTGTATCTTCATTAATTCATTTAACAAATATGTGTTATACAACTATGTTGTTTGCATTCCTGCCTACACCCTGAAGATACAATGGTAAAAAAGACAAGGCCAGTGTTTCCAGTGAGCATATACTCTGGAAGAGGAAACAAAAAACAAATAAACAAATAGAGAAAATGACTTCAGATGGTTTCATGTGCTATGAAAAAAGTCATAATGTTGACAGTAACTAATGGGTCTGGTTTACATTCGGTGGTCAGTGAAGCCTTCTCAAACTGAGATCTGAATGAAAAGAGGTGGGGTGGTAACGGTCAGAACATTCTATATGACAGAACAACAAGTGTAAAGGCTCTGGGGGAGGAGCAAGCTTGGTGTGTTGAAGGACAGAAGGAATACCAGAGAGACCAGAGTACTGGAAGCAAGAGGGGAGTGAGGTTGGTGACAGTGGCCAGGGTTACACTATGTAGGGCCTTGTTGCCATGATTAGGGGTTCTGGATTTAATTCTACATGTTTTCTTCACTACTACACCAAATTCCACCTGGCCTCCAGTCCTCATGCAGGGCCTTCTCAAGAAGTCCCACTGGAACCCCACAGGCATCTGCACCTCCACATGCACTAGATGAATGCATCATTCCCTGCCGCCACATTCCTTCAACCTACCCCTCCCTATACCCTCTTTGTTGCTATAAAATGAACCACTCTCCAAACGGCTGCTAAGTCAGAAATTCAAAAATTATCCTAGATTCCTTTCTTTCTTTTTATGATTGACAGCCAATCAATCCAATCCTCATCTGTTTTCCACAGTGTTCCCATTGTCTGATCTTGTTTCTGTGCCCTGCTTAGGCATTTTCCTCACTCCAATTTCTTCTTCCTACTCTCTCTTCTCAGTTATGTCATGTTTCTATCAAACATAAAGACAGTATAGCAGAAGGTTTAATCAAGAGAGCCACTCTGGTGTCAAATTGCTGAACTGAAACCGGGTTCTACAACTTTTTAGAAGTGTAATTTGTTTCTTTACCTTTCTGTACCTCAGTTTCCTCATCTGCACAATGAGAGTGATAACAGGATCTGTATTTTACGATTAGTTATTGGTGTTAACCCATAAAACAATGGTGTAAAGTTCCCATCATATGGTGACATCTTTGAAGAACGTTTAAACACTTCATTACAGAATTCACAGTTTGAAACAGTTAAATTCACTGCAACAAAACTGTGCAAACCTCATCTTTTAAGTAATATTCTCAGATTCATCTGTCACATATATATATGTAAACTCCTAGTAATAAGGCCTTTAAACTCAATGAGAAGGAACATCTTTAAAGAAGTGTGCATAAACACTTACTCACAGAGTTCACTATTTGGTTAACAGGTAAATTCACAGTAATTTGAGTATAGTCAGCACTCAATAAATATTATTCCCCTGATCAAAATTATTCAATGGATTCCATTTCACCTTCAGGATAAAAAGCAAAATTCTATAATAAATAATCTGCAAAGCCTTGATTCTCTGATCCATGCTTACTTTGCTACCCAGATTCACCTTATGGTTTTCTCTTGTCTCTTTCTCCTTTCTCATAGTCTTTTCTCACACTTTGTTCTCTAACAGTTCCCTAATTTTTCCATGCTCTTTGCTTCTATCACCCTTCCTCACTTCTCTTAGCAAAATTCTGCTTAGCAATCAAATTATGTCCTCTGTGAAGACTGGCAAACTCAAGGAACTTTTTTCTGTCCTCACTGTACATGGTACTCAACCACATTCTAGAAATTCTGCTGCCATGTTTGTGTGCACACTCATCTTCCTGCCAGCAACTTGTAAACAATTGCCATGGCCTTTTTTCATTTGTATATTTAGTGTCTTATCACAAAAAGGAATCATTTAAAATATCTGTAAGAATTATTCCATAAGGTTAATTTTACTTTTATCAAAAGTGTTATGCAATCTCATAAACAGGCCATTATCAATATTTTCATTATTGAAATGGAAATCAAACAATTTTTGTTGGAATTATCAAGCAAAAATTGCTCCTTCCTGGTTGGATATCTCCAGTATTGCTATCTTTAGATGAGGTGTAGGTCATATAAATTATATTAAATTTTATTCTTTGTTGAAATAGCTAGGCACTAACAGTATTTTCTGATATAAGTGAGGAACTCCTAGGAAAGAAAAACAGAATAAAAGCAGTTTGATAAATTAAAATAAATTAAGCTAAAAGAGGAATTAGCCCAAAGATTATTCTTAGCCTGAAATCTCCTACATCTCCCCTTAATCTTATATCTGCATTCAGTAAAGAGAAAAAAAATCAGCAGTGCTTATTGAGCTTAATTTCTTCCTTTAGTCAAATAAAAGTCATTCAAACATTAATCCAAGAATTATTTATTGATTGCCCATTATATGCAGAGTCATATCCTAGGGACTATGGAAGACACAAACACATAAAGGGCTCTCTATAGCTCTCCCCAAATTCACTGGTATAGCATCTACTCTATTTGCAATTAAAATTTAGGTGCCAAGGTGTCCTTTGGTACTATATTGAAATAGCTTGCCCACTATTTCTCTCAAATGGTACTGGGAGTATATGACAAATATTACATTTTATTTTCTCTCTGCATTTAGTTATTCAGCAAGGATGAGCTGAAAAACAGTGTCAGGCACTTTGCCAAGCATCAGCAGGGGTACAATCATAAGCAAAATAAGCATAATTTCTACCTTAGAGAGCATGCAGGATCTTTCTCCCTTCACCCCAGACATATAAAAGGAAATTAAACAATTATAATAAGTGTTGTCATCCTGGATATACAAGTTACAATGGTTTCCTAACTTCACCTAATTTAGAGGATCAGGAATGCCTCTAAGAGAACAAAGACACAGGGATTTCTGAAAGTTAAATAGAAGTAAGCCAATTAAAAGTCAAGGAGTAGGAGGGGAATGTTCCTGGCAGAGGAGATTTTATGTACTTATCTATATATGTATGTATTCTAGCAGAGGGATATTCTAAAATCTGAAGGCAAGAAGAAGCATACTGTGTTGGGAGAACTGAAAGAATTTCTACAAGGCAGGGCCTCAAGTACAAAGGGGAGTCATAAGAGATGAGGCTGGATAGCAAGGTATGGGGCCAGATTATGCAAACATTTAAAGCGGAATAAAGAAGTATCATGACCTTATCTTAATAGAAATGGAAAGCAGTTTTATTTTTATGAGAGAAATACTATGGTTAGTTATGCATTATAGAAGGACCACTCTGAATTGTGGGAAACAGATCGGATGAGAACTAGGTAACGAGACTGTATAGATACACCTTAAGAGAAGAGGCTATTACAACAATCTAGGAAAGAGATAATAGAAGTCTGTACAAAAACAGACTCCTATAGTGTCCTTTACTGAATAGAAAGAGGTGGAAAGAATCAAGAGACGTGTCCAATACCTTGGTATTTGTCTGAAAATAGAATGTTAAGAAGAGGAAAGAGTCTAGGATGAAGTACCAGGCAGGTGAAGATGCCATTCCCTAAGATCAAGAATATTGGAGGAGCAACAGTTTGGGTTTCACAGGGAGTGAGATGAGGTTTGTCGTTTTGAACATGCCGAATTTGAGGTGTCTGAGAATCATCAACGTTATACTGTCCAATACAGAGTTTGATGTATTTCCTCAAAGCTCATAGGTAGATCTGTCAAGAACATGAAGATTTGTAAATCAATTTCTGGATAATGACTGAGACTTCAGGAATGGTGCTATCTATTACCCACACAAATATATAGAATAAGCAGAGAAGAAAGCCTCATTCTAAATCTTGAGAAATGCCTACGGAAAATAAAAAGAGCCATCTACAAAGAAATCTAAGATAACATAATTTAAATTGCCAAGAAGCAGAAAAAGAAAAGCAGAGAAAGAAAAGAACATTCCCTAAAGAGGAGAATACTCAACAACATCAATTTCTGCCTCAAAGTCAAGTAACAAAGAAATGTAAAAGTAAGTTTAATAACAAGAAGGTCACTGGTGACTTGGAGAGGGTGACCTATGCAAAGTGGCAGAGGCAGAAGCAGGATTTGGTGGGTTGAGGAGCGAGAGTCTGGTGAGGAAACAAGTATAGACAGTATTTCCAAAAGCTTGGCCGTTGGCAGTGAATGTGCGGAGTATATTTAAAAATATAAAGGTCACTTTTAGGATTCTAAAGTTTTTGGTAAAAGGAAGATCACCTCTTTATTCTGGTTTCCAGTGAGGTTGGTTCTGTCCTTTCATGTGAGATTCAATGTCCAATTGTGGCCCCAGGGTAAAAGGGCTCTATCCAGTTTTGAATGGCAGTGTATAATAATCCTGGACTTTAAAGGTCCCCGAGTGACTATGTACACAGCTCAGGAACAGCATGTTGTCTTCTTAATAAACATTTGTTTAGATAAATAATTGCACTAATCTCTAGAAGAAACTAAGCTGTGCAGAAAGTGAGTTTAGAATATGTGCAAGCTCTAATGTTACAGCTCAAGCCTTGGGTTAATACACTGCTATTTCCATGGTCAAACTTTTACAGTTAATTGCAGATTGTCTCCTGTGTTCTATATACTTTATGGATCAGCCACATTGTATTTATAAATTTTGCTCTGAAATTTGGCCCTTATCCAGGTCACTTCTTTTTTTGCCCAGTTAGGGCATGCTAGCAAGTCACAAATTATAATCAAATCTCACTTTTCCAAACTAATGACTTTAAAGAGCAATAATGCATGATCCAAAATGATGGTGAATTCATGAACCATTTATCTCTGTAATGTATATTCATTAATTATATTCATGAAACTTGTAATGTATATTCATTAAATGTATATTCATTAAACTTGACTATGAATATGTCTTATATGACATTCATAACAAAATGATAAAGCATTTCAACCAAAATGACCCAAGGGGCCTTGGAAATTTTTCCAACTTCTCTGTTCCCATTTCCTACTATGTTCTACCGTTTATATCACATTTTATGTTGCAGTAACTTCTTAGAATAAACTAACGTATCATGTTTTTTAGGATGGAAGATGCAAGGAAGTTCAATCTACTCTTTTACCATTCCCATATTATTGTAACGATTCTCTGCAGCTATGTTTCTCTTTCCCTGTTTCTCTGAACATTTTTATTCACAAAAGTGAAGACAGTAGTATAACAAACCTATTTACCCATCACTCACCTTCGACAATGATCAGCATCTCTTTTCAAAATGTACTATTTTTTAAGAAATATGACTATCATACCTCTAAGATATTATGGATGAAGACATCACACTAAGGGAACTTCTAATACTGTCTATTCCAGCCCAGTGTCTCAGTGAGGAAAATGAAGCATGTAGAGATGCGCCCAAAGTCACAGCACTAATCAATAGGAGTGTGGAAGCTAGAGGTAGTCCCCATCTTTCTCATTCTCCCCTTGAAATCAGGACTACACTTCTACTGCCTTATTTTGGGTATAGAATTTTTCCCAAAATCCACACATTACTGTTACTTTCTACAATCTCACAAAGCACAAACGACATGCAAAAACTTCAAGTATTTATAAGTCTGGCACTTTAGCCACGTGCTTAGTGGGTTGACTTATGGGGTGAGGGAGCTGAATAATAAACTGTAAGAGACAAAGTTTTGAATTATTTTTAACCAGGATGATTTTTATGAAGGTACTCAATATTACCTTTTAATGAGATGATTTCCACAGTTTCTATATTCCTTTTACCACATAAAGGGAAGGTAATTATCAGTTTGACATTTGCACGTTTGGCCTTTTTGCAGAAGTGCCAGTGATTCTGTAACTGAAGAAATGTTTAGTGATCTCACATAATATTAAGTTGAAATAAGTATGATGCTTCCCCCAAGAGTCCTCTTGTACACAAATGCTTATTTGTGCGATGATTCTTAGGAAGACCACTCACCCATGCTTGCTGCTAAAGATATTTACACAGAATACTGTACCATATCAGAGGAGCTGGAAAACCATAGCTAAGCAAGTTCTACTCACAGAAGCACCATTTCTTATTTCTCACACTACCTTGTTCTCCCTGCTAATATTAACCAAGTGATGGTTGCATAAACATAAGTAATTACTTTATAAATGACAATAAGGCAATGTTTTCCCACTGTGTGTTTCTACAAGAAGCATCAAAATATCTCTTTGATGAAGGAGACTCCTAGTTAATTAATGGAAATAAAATGCCTGTGTAAATAAAATTACATACATTTGCATATTTGAAATATAATTATATAGAGGTGGAGATATTAGTGTATATAAATACATGTGCACGTATATACATATATGTATATATATAACTAAATTGAAATAAAGAAACCAATTAAGATTCATAAAATGGCTCCTAATCAAGTGGAAGAACCAGGGGGTTAACTATCAGTGTTTAACAGTGCTGTACGAGAAAGGCTTTGCATAAATAATGCAGATTATTTCTATTAATTATGTCCTCCCTGTCCCTCCTCTGATCTCCTTCTGATAGAGCTGCCCATGGACTTTTCTCAGAGTGTATCTTTCCATAGTTCCCTGAGTGAGATACAGATGTGTGACCCTGTCACCCTCTCCTCCCCAACCCAATCTCTTTTTCTCTCCTCTCTTGCCCTATTACACAACACACACACACACACACACACACACACACACACGCACTCACACAAAAGCTGGGATAGTCACTACTTACAAATTGGTGTAGAAAGCCCTTTTATAAGGCAGCAAATTATGAAACTAAAGTAAGAAGCAGAGATGAGATATTTGGAAATAGACTATAAACAATGAGTCACCTCAGCTCCCAATTTCCTTTCCCATCTTGGCCAAGGCCTGGAGACATTTTCTACCCCTGAGTCCTCTCAATCAATTAATTCTTTTATGCTTAAGTCAGGTAAAGTGTCGCGGGGGTTTTTGTCTCTTGAAGCTAATAAGAGCCTGAGTAACCTGAGGATATTTTCAAAGGAACCTACTCACACATGGCAGAAAGAATCCCAGGTTTCATATTTGAGGATCTGTGTTCAAATCTCAGATTTTTCACTCACTAACTGTGACTTTGAGTAGTTTGTTTAGCCTCTGGGTCTCAGCATTTTGTAAATTGAATGAGTACAGAAATATTAAATAAAATAAATGATATAAGAAAATTATCAGCAACTCCATAAATGTTTATTGAATTAAGCTGTGTTTGGCATATAGTCTGCTGGCCCACACTTTCCATAATGCAGTTATGATGATCAACTTTGTGACAAGGACATAAAAAGTTTTGAATTCTGACCAGTAGCCCTGGGTGACCTCAAGAATGTTAGACCAATTAGTCAAGCTGCTGATATATAATGTCTCTACAACAAGGAGTCAGTAGGCTGAAGATACTCTAGAACATGTTTTAGCAAGTCAAAGCCCAGGGTAAGTCCTTAAGCAGGCTTCTGCTGCTGCTCTTAATATCCTCAGGAAGAACATGAGCTACACTTCAATAAACGCTTGAATGCCAATTCAGATAACCAGACCCTGATCATTTAATTAACTTCTATTAGTATGCATTATGGAAACCCTTCTTATATTCTTCAATAATAATGTGAATATCAGAAAATTACTCCACTCTTTCAATTAAATGGCTTAATATACATACGAAGGAATTTTTATTGTTTTTTAAAGAACTCAAATTCTAAGATTAAAATAGACTTGTGTCGCTTTTATGGGGTTTTGTTTCCATTATGTGTTTCTAACAAGAAATGTGTTGCTTAACTACATGTGCCTAAAAGAATGAGATAATAATACTACTGTGCCTTGTTGCCTGATGTATAAATTAGATTTTAATATTCATACCCATGAACAGAATTAGTACATTATAAAATAAGTAAAAGTGCATAATGATAAGGGAAGCAAAATACACATTTTTATTTCTTCCTGTGAAGAAAGATAAGAGATTTCAAATTATATCATTATTTGCAGTTTACGTGAGATAAAATTGTTGAAAAGTATTTGCTTCACTTTTGAATTTACACACTTTTGATGTCTTTGGGTTCTCAGAAAGCGTCTTTATAGTTTTTTGTAATTGTCAATTAGAGTCTTTACCATTAGGCCACATGCAGTGGCTTATGCCTGTAATCCTAGCATTTTGGGAGGCTGAAGTGGGCGGATCGCTTGAGCCCAGGTGTTTGAGACCAGTGTGGGCAATATGGTGGAACCCTTTCTCTACAAAAAATCAAAAATTAGCCAGGCATAGTGGTGCACCTGTAGTCCCAGCTACTCAGGAGGCTCAGGTGGGAGGATCACCTGAGTCCTGGGAGGTCAAGGCTGCAATGAGCCATGCTCATGCCACTGCACTCCCTCCTGAGTGACAGAGTGAGATCCTCTCTCAAAAAAAAAAAAAAAAAAAAGACAAAAAAGTATTTACCATTAATTTCTTACTTAAAAAAAGTCTGAATATCAGTTCATTATACATACAAATTAACTGCTGAAGATATGAGTATGTCTCTAATTTTTAGTTTTTTGAGGAACCTCCAAACTTTTCTTTTTAGTGAATGTACTAATTTACATTCCCACCAGCAGTGTACAAGGGTTCCCTTTTCTCCACATCCTCACCAGTATTTTGTATTCCCTGTCTTTTGGATATAAGCCATTTTAACTGGAGTGAGATGACATCTTATTGTAGTTTTGATTTGCATTTCTCTGATGATCAGTGATGTTGCACACCTTTTCATATAAGTTTTATCTTTTAATTTTGTTGATTATGTATATACCCAAATTTTACTTTTACTTAATATTTACATTTTGACCCACTCTAAATCAGCTGAGATTGAATGAATGAATGACCAGTTGGACAGTTTTTTGAGTATCTTCTAACGCATAGACCCTGTAGCACCTTAGGGCTATCATTTACTTGGATAAAGAAGACACTGATCCTATTGCTGGGGGAATCGAAGAAAGGAGAACAGATATGTGAATCAACAATTTAAATGCCATTATTCTGTAATAAAAGAATATGAAAATTTTCATGGTGGCACAGAGAGGGAATAATAGTCAATTCTCAGAGAAGTAGTTTCACATTTGAGCTTTGTAATTTGAAAGCCCTGGAATGAAGCCCCAGCACTCTTCCATGCAATGTAGTAAAATGTGAAGTTAAAGTTCGATCTTTAATCTGCAAATGAAAGATAACAGTGTCTCCAGCTTAAGGTTGTGTTAAGGATTAAATATGACAACACGTGAAAGGCTGACTTTAGCACCGTATGTCTGGCATATAGTGAGTGCTTCCTGCATGTTACTCTGATTGTGAACTGGGCACTAGGGAGATATTTAGTCACCATGGAAGCTTCACAGAGAATATTCACAGGAGTTACTAGCGGAAAAAGGAGAGAACAGACAGTGAGCCAGCCATGAAACCTTCCTCATCCTCTGGCCTCAGTGTTATAAATCCAGGGATTATTCATGAGTTGACATTGGTTCAATAATTTCATAATGTCAATGGGCACAAAAAATTCATGGAATACTTGTTTAAAATGCATAGCCCAGGCCCTACTCCAGACATTCTGATTCATTAAGTCTAGTGTGGGGGCCTAAAATCTTCAACTTAATCTCATTTAAACAACAATTGATGGAGATGAGCCCTAAAGCCATTCTAGCTGGATTTTATTAAAATTAAATTGCCATACTTGACATGTCATTTAGTAGTCTTTTTTGCCATCTTTATATCTCAGAATCAGGGAAAAGTGACACACATGCACAAAAAGTACTTACTTTGATTACTTTTAAATAACACAAATTGTCCTCTCTTTAGAATATTCAGAAATTTTAAAACCCCAATTTTTGAAAATGGAACTGGGGAGCCATGAGCAGAAAGATCAGAAATGGACATTTACCACAGATTTATTTGTTTAATGTGCACTTTCCATGCTAGACTGCACATTCCATTGGAGCAGACAACATGGATACCTTATGCATATCGGCGGCTCCACCAGCTAGTACAATGCTAGGCACCATTAATCAAGAAGTACTTTCAGGGTAATGCCTGCCTTCCTTGGCAGGATATAGGAGTGGTAAGAGAAGTGCAGGGTAGGGGTAGATTGGAGATATATTTAGGAATGAAAATTAGCAGATTTCCCAATCTAATGAGGGACTACAGAAAAATATTCTCAAGCTTCAAGCCTAGGCTGCTAGATGAAGACAATGTCCCCAACCAAGGGGGAAGAATATTTGTTGGAAGAGTAATTTTGTTTTAAAGATTACATGTTTGAGATTTCTAAGGAAAACAATAGCCAGTGAATAACTACAGATGTATAGGAGTCTAAAATTCTGAGATATAGTAAGCAGAATAATGATCTTCATAGATGTCCACGATCAGGACCTGTGAGTGCTGTCTTGCATGTCAAAAGAGACTTTATAGATGGGATTAAAACTAAAGACCTTGACATGGGAAGAGTATCCTGGCTTATCCAAGTGGGCCCGATCGAACCATGAGTTATTTAAAGCAAAGAGTTTTTCCCAATACAGAGAATCATAAAGATGGCAGCATGAGAGGAAGTTTCTAGCTTGAAAATGGAGATAGGTTGCAATGAGCCTAAGAATGTAGGGAACTTCTATCTAGAAGCTGGAAAAAAAACATTAAAATGAATTCTCTTTTGAGAGAATACCTGTAGAAAGCAGGGCAGCTTTACCTATAACTTGATTATAGCCTAGTGACACTGACCCACAGAATGGCAAAATAATAAACTTATGTTATTTTTTTCACTAAATGTGTGGTAGTTCATTACAGTAGCAGTGGGAAACTAATACATGAGGTGTGAGTTGAATATAAATATTTGTACCCATTCTTTAGATTTCTGTATAACAGATATATACATATATATTCAGAAAATAATTTCCTTCATTAGTTAATGCCACTTCCTCTCAGTTTCTGCAATTTTTTTTTTTTTTTTTTTTTAGATGGAGTCTCACTCTGTCACCCATGCTGGAGTGCAGTGGTGTGATCTCGGCTCACTGCAACCTCTGCCTCTGGGTCTCAAATTATTCTCGTCCCTCAGCCTCCAGAGTAGCTGGGATTACAGACACATGCCACCACACCTGGCTAATTTTTATATTTTTAGTAGAGATGGGGTTTCACCATGTTGGCCAGGCCAGGCTGATCTCGAATTCCTGACCTTAAGTGATCCACCCACCTTAGCCTCCCAAAGTGCTGGTATTACAGGCGTGAGCCACTGCACCCGGCCAGTTTCTGCAATCTTATATTAAATGGTCTAAATACAGTGCTGGGTATTTGTCTGATAGCATTCAGCTCTATTCTCACTCTTTCAACTTTACTCTGGGACTGCATGCCTGTAAACTGCTGGCTTGAAGCCAGTAAAGTACCTATTCCAGATCCCCTTGCTAGCTGGTCTCTGGTTGGGTCTTCCAAAGGAAAGGACTGGTGGGAGAGTGGAAGTTAGGAGAAGAAAAGAAGCCATGATTAATTTTCTTCTGCTTCTGTGTCCAACTGCCTTAGCATCTTAGCGCTCATGAGTTTTGGCGGTGGCAGAATCAGCACCAGGCCAGTGGTTGCCTCTCTGCAATACCAGCATCATTATGGCAGCAGCCAGTGGTTGTAGGCACCAGTCGCTCACCTTGTCAGTGAGTCCAGTAGCACCAGCAGGACTGTGGGCTCATGGATGCCTGCAAAGCAAAGGTCAGGTGGTTTCAGCAGCAGCTGCAGCACTCCCAGGTACATGCTTGTAAGGTCCACATAATACTGCTTATACCACTTTCCCCTTTGCCCTTCCAGCTCTAGGGGCAATAGTGACTTCCTGCAATTACTAATTCTGGGTAATAGCAACTAACTCTTTTCTCTCCCTCAGGCTTTTTAACACATCGGTAAACAATTACTTGGTATTGGATTACCTCTGTTTGAAAAGCTGAGAATAATTTCTGTTATCCTGACTAGACACTGATACAAATGTTTTTGCACTAATATTTCCTTATTTTAAATAACGAAGTGAACAGGGTGGGGGGGGGGGTTTATGGGTTACTAATTGGGGTTCATCAGAATTTCCAAAGACAGTAAGACATTTAAACAGTAATGAGGTTGGATGCTTCCCAGCACAGAGACAGTAGTTTTAGATTAAATATCTAGCCTTATAGAAAAGAGAGAAAAAATCCTTCCACTTGGCAGCAAGTTCATGAAAACAACTGGTCTACTTAACTCAATTTGCTCTGAAAAAAAAAAAAAAAAAAAAACAAAACACCACGAGAAATAGAAAAGCCACTACAAATGTATCATTATCTTGAATTAAAGCTGTACCAGGAAAGTAGGGCACACACTGAACATTTTTTTATTATGAGAGTTGTGAAAACACAGGGCTGCTATTTGCAATAGTTGTGCTCAACATGATGCTAACTGGCCCTCATGCCTGAACTTCTCTTCCCAATAAAAACCAACTACAGTATAATGTGATCTGATAGGGCCATCCAGAAGAGCAACAATTTCAACAATTTGATACAACAATTTTAAGTTCCCCGTCACTACTGAGAACATTTTAAGGAGTCATGAAAACCTGTTTTTAACAGAATAAGCCAACTGTGATCAAAGTAATCATCAGCTCCTTTCATTGTACACTTACTATTGTGCAAGACCCTGTGTTAAGCCCTCAACATTAATTAGCTCATTCACTGCCTGCAAAGGCCCTATAAGACAAGTAACACCACAAGTGAACAACCTGAGCCTGATAATGGTGAAGTAGTCACACAGCTGGTCAGAGCTGGAATAGAAGGTCAAACCAGCTCAGTCCAACTCTAAAATCAATACCTGTAAGCACCTCTCTGTACTTAGTACAAAGAAGGGAAAATTTCCATGTTCCCACCTTAAAATTGGAGGGACAACATGCAGAAATGCATGAATCAAGGCAACTTACATATATAAACTATACCACAAAGCCCTACACACATCACAATTTTATTTTCAAATTTTAAATAAATATAGAAAGAGACAAGCTTTGTCACCAAGCAACACTGGAAAGGGCTCATATTTCAGTGGTCATACATGCTTTTCAGGAATGAGGAGAGTTGCCTCGTCTGTTGACTCTTATAAGAAGAGAAGAACTGAAAATTAACTTTATAGAGCTATACACAGGAATGGATCCTGAATTTACTGCACATGTAATTAAATTAGTGATGACTCAACTTTGGAACTCCTATTTTCTTGTTTATAAATTATTTCTGATTTTTGTTCCAAATAATAAAAACAACAACAAAAAAGTCATGGTTACCTATCTCATTTGGCATGACTGAGAAGAAGTAGAAAAGCTTCTGTTGGGACTATGGAATGATCACGTTTAGTTCTGTAGTTGGATTAAAGGCCATATATCTATCTACTTGAGATGATTTTCTTATTTCCTTGTTACAGGGCCTACAGGGTCCTGCATGGTTGTTCCTCACCTATCAGCCTTTGCTTTCTTGTTGCCCCTCGGCCTCTGAGCCAACCTCCAAAGAACCATTCCTTGGGTCCTGACTCAGAGCTCTATGCCAAAATAGCTCCTCCTCATTCTTCATGTCTCAGATTAGGCATCATTTACTCTGGGAAGTCTTACCCAATTCTAGGACTAGGTAGGGTCACCCTGTTTATTCTTCTTTAGAATCAGTTACTTATCTTCACAAGAATTTTAAATTCTTATACATTTTTATATAAGGCATTAAGAAATAAAAATCTGTTTGTTGCCTATCTTCCTTAGTCTCCACTAACACAGACAGCATGTCTGTTGTGTTGACTTCACTATCACCGGTACCTGTAACAGTACCCAGTATGTAGTAAGGACCCCAAAATGTTTGTGAAAACTTACTATCTGAATTCCACCCAGCCTCAAGGCATAGCCATAATCCCCCTGAGAGCTTTTCACTGGGAACTTTGGTGACAGGGTCTTCCACAAAGAACAGCACAGAGCTCTTCCATCCAGTGCCCTTTCCTTTAAGTCCTCATTTTTCTATTAGGAGCTTCCTTTTTGTGGTCTCTACAATTTAGAGGCCCCTAAACCTACCCCATCAAAGCAGAACCTTACAATAACACTCATCTTCAGCTCTCATTATTCTCTTCAGTGGTTTCCCACATTTTCTTTCAGAGATCCAACACCTGAGGTATTAGATTAACAGAATTGTTTCCAGATCCTTTATTCACATTGAAGAATAAATACTTAGTAGGATGAATAGATACCTCTAATGTATATTTTCATTTAGCAGCATCTAAATTGAAATGTCTGGCATTGACCACTAGGAACAGAGAATCCTCCATAGAGTAGAAACAGTACCTTCACTATGGACAGGGGCCAACTGTGCTTCTCTTACACACAGATACCCAATGAAAAAGAGGTACTCTGGACCTCACACTAGACCAGGTCCAATCTAGTGCTCTATTGCTTTCTTTCCTCTCAGTCTTACATCTAGAACATCCCCTCAGCCTCTAGCTGATCACACTTTTGGTACTGGCCCATAGGCTGCACCCCACAACCAAACTAAGAGGATTAACAGGAGCCTTTCAATTGCTGTAATCCCCTTCGTCACTTGGAGGTGGCCGAAGTTTCAAAATTAAAAAAAAAAAAAAAAAAACTTAAAAAACAAAAGAGCAAAATTGAAAAGTCTCTAGATAAAAATTTAGAATTGTATAGATCTAAATTAATTTTAAACTCTGACCTAAGTGCTTTGTGCATGAGTCAACTGACCCATGACAACAGAGATAACTATCTCAGTCCATCCATTTCAGATGCCCCTTACCTCACTTTTTTCTTTTTTCTGTTTTATCCAAAGGAGTTTGGTCACTGATACAGTTTGGATATTTGTCCCCACCCAAATCTCATGTTGAATTGTAATTTCCAGTACTGGAAGTGGGGCCTGGTGAGAGGTGTTCAGATCACTGGGGCGGATCCCTCATGGCTTTGTGCTGTCCTCATGATATGAGTTCTCAGGTGATCCGATCATTTAAAAGAGAGTGGCATCTCCCTCACCCCCCTTTCTTGCCCCTGTTCTGGCCATATGACATGCAGGCTCCCACTTTACCTTCCACCATGATTGTAAGCTTCCTAAAACCTCCCCAGAAGCCAAGCAGATGCCAGCACCATGCTACCTGTAAAGCCTGCAGAACCGTGAGCCAATTAAATCTGTTTTCTTTATACATAACCCAGTCTCAGGTATTTCTTTATAGCAATACAAGAATGACCTAATACAGTCATTTATCCAAGTAGTGTTACTTCCCAGTATTATTTGGTTTATGTAAAACATATCTGCTCTTCCCACAATGTGATTTATCTTTCAGTTTTGCTACATGGCCAGCAAGTGTCTGACAGACAATATACTCTTAAAAAATACTTGTTGAATGTATGATTGATTGACTGACTGACAGAATGAATGAATGACTTGGACTCCCCAGTTGAAATATTTTTGTTTTTAATTCTAGAACTCTTTGGCTTCTTCCAGATGTTAGTTCTATATCCAGGTTTCTGCTACACATACTGCTAATTCCTGCTTTACTCTTTAAAGTGGGCCTCCCCTCCTACTTGAGCACTTAGCTCAGGGGAAAATTTCTTGTGCTTTCTTGAATTTACCCACTCAGTAGTTCCTGAGGGCTGAGCTCCCAAAGTCACTTTAACATTTTTCATAAAAACTGCAAACAGAATGAAACTAATATATAATCAACACTTAGAGGTGGAATTAATTGGCAGTGTATCAGATAGCTAATTTAATTACTCCAGGTAAGATGTATGAATTTTAACCATGTTTTAGAAACAGCAGCTGCTTCCTGTTCATGGTCCATCTAAGTGTTATTCAGATCAAAGTATTCTGGGCTTATGCCAAAAGCACCTTTCCTGCCCAGATACAGAGGAAAAGGAAGAAGCTTTCACCATTCAAGACCTTCCCCCCACCTTTAAATAAAGTAGTTCTGCTTATGACTATTTTGCCTGGCTCCTAGAATTTCCTTTGAACAAAGGATATCATAGCTTTAAAAATAAAGCAACCACCACCTGAAATACACTGGTCAAGTATTACTGAGTTGTTTCCAAACACGGGAGTAAGAAATTTTGAGTTTGCAGTTCTTTCCTTGCCTCATGAAACAGCACTCAACAAGATCAGAAATTAAATCCTAGGGCTAGCTTAATATTCATGACTTAATGAAGAATTTAGAACTTCATGTACCCAAATTTGTCATACAATCAGATCACATGTTGTATTCCAGTTACTATGTATTTGGTCTACTTCTAAGACCTTCAGACTTAGGGATGCTTATGTACTATGTAAATCCACCCAAGTCCACTCCTTATGAATATTTTAGGCCAATTATCATTTCTCTTTAACTGTGCTTTCTCACCTTCTCTATTCCCTGTGGAAGACCGGTTTGCCCTGTCACTTCAGGGGTGGAATGCATCCTGATGATCATAGAGATTTAAACAGAGTGTGATATATAAAAACAACAACAAATCCACAGTAAAGTGACCTACTATTGGAAGAAACACATAAAGAAGATTTATGGTTTTTTTGTAACACAATTTCACAAATCTTCTTTCAATGATGACAGGAAAGCAAATCATCAGTGGTGGTCACCAAGGATTCTCCCAGGGATATTATACACACTTCCTAAACGTATAGTATGTAGCACATGAATACTGAAAGAAGAACATTAAACGTAGTTTAAAATACATGATCAATTCTTTAAATCTATTTAAATTCATTTAAATCAGCATTGTTTGGGCTTTATCTACAATCTTCTTGGCAATAACCCTGCTTCCATAGTGACAAAAATTTGTATTTTATCTTCATGCATGCTTGTGGAAGTATAACAACTTTTGTAGTAAAGTTTACATATTATTTTCACATAAATTTCATTTTTGTGAGAAGTCCAAGCTACAGGTTTCTTTCCTTTAATCATTTATTGCTGTCTTGCCATTAAATACATAATTCATATCTCCTCTCAAGTAATGAAAACTCAACAGAGGGCCATTCCTAACCACTTGCAAAACAGTTCTAAATCTACATGATGATCAGATCTTTGAAAATTGGCATGTAATATTAAGGAAAAGATAATGAAATCCTTCACAGATGTCACTCTTCATATAATATATATGTTTTATTAGCATAAATCCATTCATTTGTGCCTAATCAGTATTCTCTTATTTAATTGTTTCAAGTGGTTAGTAAGTTTGCTTTGGCCAGTCAAAGTGAAACAGAAAAGTGAAGCAACAGAGACGTTGTGCAGTTACCTATCCACACCCAGAAATGAGGGCTTTATTTCAATAGTTTGCTGTCAATTGAGCTGCAAATCTGTGTGTTCTTTACTAAAATTCCTTTTAATATTAATTTTTAAAATAAAACTTCCAGGGCCTATACTGTTCTCTGTTCACATTCGTGGCATCAAAAAGCTGTACACATATGATTAGTGATAATTTATATATTATTTTATTCTTTAATACAAAAATTAAAAATAAGTTTCCATTTATATGCCACTATGTCTAGAATAGAATTTTTTTATTTTATGAAATTATAGCTATTACTTCAATTCATACATCACATTTTATTTAAAACTAATGCTTTTTTCCCTAGGAATTCACAAATCTGTAAGCAGAAGAGTAAAAAACCAAAAGAGAAAGCCTTAAAATATCCCCTTAAAATGATTTGATTTTTCTGTTTACCCTCTGGATACAGGATGTAGATGGTATGACAGGGAAACATCTGGGTAAAGTAGGCAATATTTAAAAATGTGAACAGTATTTTTAATATATGATAGTGTTGTACTGAGTTTACCACCTTATCAAGAATATAAGAACTATCAGTATGTTATATTTCAAACCTGCACTACATTAAAATGTGTAGTAAAGCATTTCGAATTGCATAAATTTCAACTTATAAGGAAATAATGCAAGTGATATACATTGCATAGGATGTTCTTTGTTCTCACAAATGTTTCAGTCCCTTTTATGTCTTAACAATGAAATTTACCAGCTGTCTCTGAATATTTAAAGGGATATTATGTTGAACAGAGAGCTCTTCTTGTTTCCCTACACTCTTGCTTCAAAAAGGCATACTGAAGTCCAGTGAGTAAAAGAAAGAAGGAGGAAGGGACATTTGCGCAGAGACAGGAGACTGGCATTAATTCACTCATCTCACAGGAGAAGAAATCACCTTGATAAGCAGAGAGCTCCCACACCATTGGAAATATTCATCCATGTTAAGGTTGAGTGAGGTTGAATTAACAGTCTTACTGGCTTAATGCAACATCAATTTATTATCTTATAGTCCTCTAGGTCAGAAGCTCCACTGGGCACAAATCAACATGTTAGTAAGGCTGTGATTTTTCTTGAGCCTCTATGGGAGAATCCATTTACTTGCCCTTTCCAGATTCAAGAAGTCACTTGCATTCCCTGGCTTGTGACTTCTTCCTCTAACTTCAGACCTAGAAGCATAGCATCCTCAAAGCTTTCTCTCTGACATTCATGCCTCCCTCTTATGACCCTTGTGATTAAGTTGGACCCCACTGTGTGATCCAGGATAATCATCTCATCCTCTTTAATTCAATCATAACCGGAAAGTCCCTTTTGTCATGTAAGATATTGGATTTGTAGGTTTTGGGGACTCAAATATAAACATCTTTGGGGATATCATTAATCTGCCTACCATAGTGATATATTTAAGTATATAGATTGGTAAAAGAATCTAGATTGCTAAGGGTCTTTCCAATGTTTATATTCTATAAATAAGGCAAAGAATTTAACTATCTATTAACAACTGATAAAAAGTTTATTTGGATTAAGAAACTGACCATAAAAATAAACAGATTCTCTTCACTCCTAAGAGTATTACTTTCTTTCTGTATGTCTACCCTAGATGACTAAATATTTTAGATAAAATTTATTATTTAGAAGAAGACCAAGCTTCTCTTACATACTGTGGTCCCATCCTAACTGGCCTGAGAAGGGACAATTGCTAACAAAACCTTGCTGAAAAGTATGTGACTGATAAACTCAGGCAATTGGAGATTCTTAACAATTATGATACAACCACACTGTGGCTTTTCCAGGATGTTGCTATCTCAAAGGCTGCAGTGGTCGTTGGTCAGGGAATTATTGTCTCTCTTTCAAAAAAAAGAAAAAGATTACAAAACACTATTTTTCCTTCTTCTTATGTACCTCCTATAAACTCCTAAATAGGAAAGAAATGATCAAGTTCCTAACTTGTAATTCATTTATCAGAAGCTGTTAAATATGCCACCAATGAAAAAATACGGCTTAACTAACTCATGTACAAATTACACCAATTTATATATACCAGTCTTCAGTTTCTTGTGGCCTTCAGCAAAAGATGTTCTGAAATGCTACATAGAATAAAGCACTCTGCAATTTGGATTGATAAGTGACACTAAATTATACCTAAAGCAATTGACCAAATGATCTTGGTAGATCTTAAAGTGATAAAAATTGCCATGAAAACAGTGACCACTTAATCCATCAGTAGAATAGTCTGCATTCTAAAAAATTATAACTGGGGAAAAAATTCTCTATGGAAAAATCTTCTTTGTGGACCTACCACCAGGACAAAAGGGAACATATTTATACTAATTAAATTTCCATTGAAATCTATTTATTTTCTATTGAAATCATTAAATTAACTAAGACAAGGATAATTATCCCAATTGGAGTTTGATAAAACTTGTTGGAAGTTTTCCCCCACTACAACATCAGGTGTATATACGCATGCACACATATCAACACACACAATCTGAGTAATAATCACTGTTAATGTTTACTGAACACTCAATGAATGTCAAGCACTAGGCTCAAAACACCATATTAGGAACCATTGTTTCCCACTGTGAAGAAGTTAAAACTGAAGTTAAGAGAAGTTATAAAATTACTAGTCAATGGCAAAACTAGAATTCGAAAATAGGAGGTTTAACTCCAGGGCCTTCATTTTTGATCCTCATGTAATATTGTCCCTCTATCAGTGGCCAGAAGTAATACCCAAAGAGAGAAATACATTTAGGTATAATATATCATAGAAACTGAACACATAAAAATCAGTATTTGTAAGTTTTGTTTGTTTGTTTTCTGAGACAGAGTCTCACTCTGCCACCCAGGCTGGAGTGCAGTGGTGCTATCTCGGCTCATGGCAACTTCTGCCTCCCAGTTTCAAGCGATTCTCCGGCCTCAGCCTCCTGAGTAGCTGGAATTACAGGCTCGTGCCACCATGCCGAGCTAACTTTTTGTATTTTTAGTAGAGATGGGTTTTGCCATCTTGCCCAGGTTGATCTCAAACTCCTGAGCCCAGGCAATCTGCCCACCTGGGCCTCCCAAAGTGCTAGGATTAAAGGCGTGAGCCACTGCGCCTAGCCAAATATTTGTGAGTTAATGTTCTTAATGCCTAAATATGTACTTAAGATTTCCTTAAATTTCACTAATTTCAATATAAATATATAGCTAAACTGTAGAGCTAGCCCCAATTTTCTGGAGGCTTCTTGCAGTGAAATTGCAGAAGAGGTATTCACAGTAATTCATTAAGTTTAAGTGGTTTTTAAATCATAAGCTAAACATTGAAGTCAATGACTAGGTGGAAATTTCCAATATTCCTCATACCAGCTACACTATTGTCAAATGTATCAGTGGGAATGTCCTGAATGATGAAGAATCTAATAATATATTGTTCATCATTCATTTTTATTCACACCTCCGTTCATTCATTCTACAGATATTTATTGAGTAAAATAAGGCAGAATATTTGCAGACATAAGGATGACAGCAGACTTACCCCAAGGATTTCAATGGATGTGATGGCAATTGATGGATGTAATGGCAGGCTATAAGAGATGCACTTGACCTGTGAAAGGAAATGCAGGACTGAACTCCTTAGTTAAGTCTGTAAGAATATACAAGATATGGCCCAACAAATGAAGGGTAAAAAATTTTTGGGGTAGAGGGAACAGCGTCTGCAATGGCAGAAACATCTGCGAACATGTCATAGTCAAGAACTCTTCAGTATAAGTGGACAATAGTAGAATCATGTGGACGGATACACAGTGAAAGCTGAAAATGTAGGTGAAGGCTGGATCATGCACCTACACTTAAAATATTATTCAAGGATTTTGAACGTTTTTAGAGAATGTGAATGCAAGTAATATGGCCACCTCCATGCCTCTTCCTTTCATATCAGATGAAGCAAATGAATAGGACAAGTCTAATTTAAGGCATGCCTCTATCCTCCCTGTCATTTAAAAAAAGAGGCCCCATGGCCATTTTTGTTTGGAATATGGCATTTATTTCATTCACAAAAAGAAAATGCATATAGCCTTTGCTTGCCAAGGAAGACGTTAGAGAACATAATTATTCACAGCAAAATAAAGAACTGGAAGGGACATATGTGAGTGGAAAGAGGGGAAGCTGACTGTATTTGTCTGGTGCTGAGAAGTACACAGGACAAGTGAAGTGCTGAGTAATAGCTGTGGGAAGAAGGGCAGGGGAAGAACACTGGTAGGTGGGTTCTGAATGGAGATATGGGGAAAGCTGTAAATTCTGAACTAAAGATGAAAGTTACGTGTGGATGGTGAACAGGGGAGAAACTTGTAAGGTTGGGTGAAAGAGCGCACAGAATAGAGTAGTTCTTACCATTTGCGAGGGCTAGTATCTCTGGAGTTAGAAGTATATGCCAACATTTATGTGTGAACCAAAAAAAGATGCTGAAAAACTTGATAATTATGTGAATGAAATGAATAAGGACTGATGGCAAGAAGAATAGAGAGGAAGAAGATTGTTTAAGAAAAGAAAAAACTGGCAATATCCATTTCAAAATAAGCTATATTCTGCCTCTTACACCCACACAAAAGTGAAATAAAATTTGCCAAAAGGAAATTGCCAATTGTCAAAGAAAAAAAGAAAACTGGCAGTCCTAATTATACTTGCTAGAAATGAACAAACTGAATAATCTCTATGAATCATTCTCATTGCTGTCCAGTACAAAATCCTGAGTAGCATCCTTAATTTGGACATTCAATATTTTATTATTGATTTACAACCCAACTTGTTTTCACAACAGATCTAAGTCATGTGAAAGAAACTTTGTACATTAAAACAGCAAAATATAAATGTAAAAATAACGAGAGTCATTGGAAATAGAATCAGAGCTGGACTAGGAACAGGAGATGAGCAGAGAAGGGTATATCATGTTGCTTTTAAGGCCAACATCAATTCCTATCCCTTTGCTAAGCCACAGATTTGTCTCTTCCTCCCAGCCAAAGAAGAAAAGAAAATGATTCAACTATATGGTTATCCTTTTCTGTGAAGAGAAAAATATATTATCAGTTCTTCAGAAGTATATGTTTAGAATTTAGATATCAAATTTGAACAAAATAAGAGATTAGTTGAATACATGTTATCTGAGTGTCATCTCAGGAAAATTAATATCATTAGCGAATATTTTAAAAAGCAAATCAAAACCCCCTTTTATGTTTTATTTATTTATTTTTGAGACAAGGTTTCCCTTTGTTGCCTGGGGGCTGCAGTGAAGTGGCCTTATTATGGTTCACTGCAGCCTCCAGCTCCTGGGCTCAAGCTGTCCTCCTTCCTCAGCCTTCCAAGTGGCTACGACTATAGGTATGAGCCACTGAGCCCAGCTGATTTTTTTCTTTTATAGAAATGTGGTCTTGCTTTGTTGCCCAACCTGGTCTAGAACACCTGGCTTCAAGCTCTGGCTTCAAGGGATCCTCACACCTCAGCCTCCCAAAGTGCTGGGATTACAGGTCCTGCTCCAATTTAAACACCATAATACTCTTTTGTGTTTTTTTATCTTCAATTAAGTTTAGAGTGTCTTAGCTACAACTGAAAATGCTGTCTAAGGTAGAAAGTAATTTATTTTTCCAGAATTTCCTTCCAAGTTTAGTACTTCCAAAACAAGAGAGACTACGTAACTTGGAAATTGGTATATCACTATTATCACTATAACTACACTTTTTCTTGAAAACATATCAAATATTTAATTTCTCTCTCCAGATCTTATTCTCTAAGTAAACCTGATTTGTGAAATCAATCTACAAAAGGCTTTTTCAGCTGTCATTTTATAAGGGCTACTTGAATTTTTATGAAAAACTACATTTGTTATAACCCAAAGGCATTTTCAAGCAAAGTAGCATTTTTATTTCAATTTTTATTCAAATTATTTTATACAAAATATGTTCATATATACCAAAGAATTATGACAATGTGTATCTTGAAAAAATCAACTTCACACTGAAAGGCACTTGATAGTTATTTGAGATATATATTATTGTTCTTGCTGTCTGCTTCCAACACAGCCTAAAACCAACTGGCATTTCAAGCTCTGTTATTACTTAACACATAAAAATACGTATTTTAGTGCATACACTTTATACAGCAAAAATTTCACAGTTACAACTAACATTATGTTTTCTTTTAAGTCACAAATAGTTAAGTTCTATGTTAAATGTCATGCACATTTAGCCTACCCATGATACCAAAATGTTTCATTTTTATTTTAGTTCCAAATTATGGAGCAGAAACCTAAAACAGAGAGTTCATTTTAGTCATATATCTAAAAGAAACTAATCAAGGTATATGAGCCCTCTAATTTCAATTATGAAATAAATGTAGTGTAATCTAATAAAAGCCAAAATTATAGCGCTCAAATACCTATTTAAGTCTTCTTAATATGGAAACTTTCTGAAGTCAAATAAACACAAATTTGTTTAGGTTCTGGAAGGTACCAACTAGCATAGGTGCTAACTAAAAAGTTATTGAAATCAGTTAGGGGAAAGAAGAAATGGCTGTAAAGGCAATTACAAGAAAGGAGGTTGCTTTATATGATACTTGACATAAAAAAGAGAACATGTATTATAAGAATTGTAACTAAGTCGTCTTTATTGAAAACGTCTGAAAATTCCAACATGAAAGGTAGTATTATGCATTCATGAATTCAAGAAGAGGATGCAGGTGACTTCTCTACAGGAGGGCATGTCTTCATAATTATATTTTGCACTTGAAAAGTGCATCACTTTAAGAGCAATTTTGAAAGTCTTTAATGTGTATTTATTAGGCATAATGAAAATATACACAGTCAGATATTATAGGCATTAGAAAAAAAGGACAAGGGTTTAACTGCACTCATTTCCTCATTTAAGAAGTTCTCTGGATGGATGGATGTATCTTCAAGGTAGTTCATCTCTTCTAGAACTTCTTTCATTTATAGATATACATTTGTAATTTATCAAGAGAATTCTGTAGCAGATTGTTGGTCCATTTAAAATGCTTGTTTGTTTATATTCCACATCCTCCTATTAGCCAATTTAATCAGCTATACAACTTAAGATAAGATAACATAAAACATTCAGCGACCCTGATTTTTCACTTTGATGACAATCCCCAAAATTTCCTTTATACCCAATGCATTAAGACAATAGGCATTCCCAGAAAAAGATATTCCAGGATGTCTAACTATGGTGCTCCCAGGAATAAGCACTTCTTAAGAAATATAACCTTATCTAAACTTCAAAAGAGTAATAATAAGCTAAATATGTACCACAGATAAAATATATATCTACCATTATTATTAACATGTAATCAATAGGTATCCCGAATGATAGTCTCACTATTAACGGCACTACATTCGAATATAAACTTGAGATGCTATTTCAGATCACATAACTAAAAGTCAAGTCAAATATATTTTTCTTATTACATAGAAGCTATTTGTTTTATTGAATTCAAACATGGTGATAGAACTTAGAAGTTCATGAACACTGAATTAATCTATAGACTATGTTCTCAATGAATAGCTTAATTACTGATTAAGTTATTAAATTTAATTATTAAATTGAGCAGCCAACTTTTCAGAGCAGCCCATGTGGACTGGCTTGCTGGGTCCCCTAAGTGCTCCCAATTATTAAAACAAAGTTTTACCATTAATATATTTGATGGTAGAAGACTATATAACATAATATATAAAAAACTTCTTTGGCTTGAGCACAGATAGCAATGTGTATCTATCTATCTATCTATCTATCTATTTTTCTGTCTATAATGTATATATGTGTATCTCATAATGATTTTTAAAGTCATCATGTAGTCATATTATTTTAGAGTTTAGATAGAGTCGGGGATAGGTATAAATTGTGGTAGAATTTAGAAAATGCACAGTTTCTAAAAATAGAGACTTTTATCATTAAGCACCATAAAATCCTCTCTCATTTTTCTTTTTTTTTTTTACTTTCTTTAATATGTCCCTGGATTTAAAGTAGTATAAACTATCTCTACTCAATTATTCCCATTTTAATTAGGTTTAAAAAGCAGTATGCTATTTTTTCACACACAGTCTCTAAAAAGAAGAAAGATGCAATAGATAAAAGACATTACCATGTTTTCACTTTGAAGATAGAAGCTGAATTTCACTCTGGGATTTTCAGTTTACTGATCTGCAAAAACTGTTTGGGGGTAAAATGCTTTATTTCTCAAATAACTCATTAAGAATTTATTACAACAATTCCATATAATGATTCAACATGTTTTCTAAATTAAATCCTTTGAAATAAATATAATCATTCTTTTTTACTTTTAGCTTAAAATTGCATGTTTGGATTTTACAGACATGTGATTTGAACATAAATGTACACAACTACTTTACCTATATAATTGAAGAATTATGTCTATAGGAAAGTGAAATGTTTTATCCATAATATCCAGATATCAGATATCCATAATATCAGAACTACAAAAGAAGAAATCCTTATTATGTCAAAAAGGGATTGTAGCTTTCTCCTTTCTGTAGCAGAGGTAGAAAGTAGTCTTAACCAATAATTGTTTTATTGAATATTAAGACCATGTTCTACATGCAAACAGTTCTAATAAAACAGAAAAATGTGGAGCAAAAGTAATAGGAGAGACACTTGGATAAAAAGGGCAAAGACCAAAGTTGAAGTATTGGAAATCTTAGTGAAAGTTAGTTAAGTCAACTAAGAATATCTCTATACTAAATAAACTGAGTTTCAGTGAGTGGAAATAATTAAAGTCATTGATGTAAAGGTCAATTTTAGGTCATTCCTGGCACTAAATTTGAAAAAAAAAAAAAGTCAGAGTAGCTATGTTTTTTTAAGGAAATAGATGAATGTATTTTATGGATCTCTGAGTTTAACATTTATACTAAAGGAAAAAAATCAATAAAGTTATGTCAACCTGAAAATAACTGGGGAATGTGTATTGCTGAATTAAAAAAAGATCTATAACCACAGTTTACAGTTTCATATTTTGCAATTAATTAGTAAGGAAGGCAAACACACATTTATCTAGATTAGGAAAGTTTTCAAGTGTGTAAGGGTCTAAGGTCCAGAAGGTAGTGATCCACTTCACCTTAGGGAGAAAGGCTAAGTGTTATGTAATGGGAAGAGGACCTCAACTTGTTGGAAGACTCATCTCAACCACCTGCCAATGATAGAGAATGAATAAACACAAATTTTCATACAGTGCCCAGCTCACATGAGAAACTATTCAAATATTGAAAAAGCCATGCAAATTCCATAATAAAATGTAAAAGAAGACCAAGTAAATCAAATAGTGTTGAGAAAGTACATATATCATTTAATTTAGATATTTTTAAATGATGCATATGTAATTTAAGTACATCCAAATGTGTAAATAAATATTGGAGAGAACCTTCCAGTGAGTCAAAGTGTAGATCCTAGATAACAAAGTAAATTAATTTGTACTTTAGTAAAAACCAGCCCAGCAGTGAATAAAAATAGTGCCCTGAGGGTGGGGAGTACCTGGTGAACCCTGGTCAACCAGCACAGCCATGTGGTCAATGGGCTGTCTTCTCCCATCCACATTCACACATCCAGTCTCTATAGTGTCAGTCAGGCTCTTGGGAGATGACTGACCAAAGTGGGAGAGAAAGGACACTTTTTGACCATGTAACAGAAATTCTTCTGCAAGCCCTACAGATTTGGGAAGATGAACACCATAGTCTAACCAACTTGAATAGAACTAAACCGTGTAAGATTATGAAGCAATTCTCCCTTTATACTGAGAAGTCTTAAGGCACAAACAGTACAATGCCCTACCCAATTTAGTTTTCCATAACCAAAAGGAGGGCAAGGGAGACAGGCACGGAGATTACCAAAGCGTTGAAAAATAATACCTGTGAGAAAGGCAGAACATTGTATGTTTTCTAGATGAAATAGACTTAAAGAAGAATTTAAAGGATTTAAGTTGGCTGTAAGAAAGATTCTCCTGGCACTGTGAGTTGTTAAACATTAAAGTGGTTTGCTGAGACTGCAGGAACTCCAATTCTGAGAATCTTTAGAAATGGGAAAGATTCAGACCTGCTACTTAGAGGGACTGAATGTGGGCTTTATTAAACTAGAACTCTGCAAGTGCCTGCTAACCCTGTGAGTTTAATTGTTAAGTACTTATACAAACAGTATTTTCCATCTAACAGTTCTGACTCAGTACTGTATACAGTTGTTGGGGGGAGCAGTTGCAACAACCCACTTTTTATAGTACATAAAAGCATGTGAAGGAATAGTTTGTCATGAGGAATCCTAGTGATATCTCTGGGCACCTGTACTTTCTGATCTTAGATTTCTCATGTAAATTACATATAGCATTTATTAATAATCAAAGGCTTTTATAATATGTTGCAGTTTTGAATAATTCATGCTAAAGAAGCATTAAACCATGATGGAAAATATCAAACATAAAAAAATTAAAGTTGGGCAATTTCAGTTTTCCCTCTTGATATCATACAGACTTAAATACTGTTTTTTATATGAAACCTCAAAAGTTGGTCTTTAAGTTTGGATACTTAGTCACTAGTAGTCCAAAACTAATATATATATATATTTATTATATATATATTTATTATATATATATTTATTATATATATATATAAATTACACACACATACACATTCACACACATTTTCTTGAAACATATTTGGAGCCTTAAAACATAATAGCATGTACCAAGAAATGAATTAATAATGTATTTAACTCATATAATCTGGATGAAATTATTTTATAAAAAGAATGTGAATAAACTGAATAGTAACTAAATTGAATAGTTTACTAAGTTAAAAAGCAATCACGTTAATTGCATGTTAATATATTTGTATATTATACAATAAATTATCCAACTCAGATTTCCATAAAGAATTCTCTTACTTCCCCTTAAAGAATGTGCATAGTTGAGCATTAGATATAATCAAGTTTTCACTACCTATAACTTTCCTTTTGCCAATGATTTGAGGGAAAATCTTTGAGTTTTTCTCACAAAGTAACAGTAGCATTATTAAACTAATCTCAACTGATGACTTTACAAAAGCACATTATAACGTGCCACTCAAACTTTCTACACTGCTCAAATCAGCAGATTCGTAAGTTGACATAGCACAGAGGAGCTACCTTCTGAGCCCTGCAGTTGACTGCATTCAGTAAGTATTTACATCCGTAGCACTATAGATCCTACTGACTGAATTGAAAATACACATGTAAATACACACCCCTCTCTGTGTCACAGTCTGTCAATAAATTGTATAAACGGACACGATGTATCTCCATACCTATGGATAAGGTATACGTTTTAGATGTCCACCACCTACTCATTGTATCAGGATACTATCTCTCAATATCTTTTTGTTTGTGTTGAGTTGGAACGTTTGTGTATGTATGTGTGTGCGCGCGCACATTACCGGAGAGGGAGATCCGTTCTTGCACAGGGGTCCCCTGAAGACTCCTTTAATGCCCCGGTAGTGCCCATTGCTGAGATGTCTCGAACTGATGACCAGGTAACAAGCCATGTGGGTCCGGGCGGAGGCGCAGAGTCTCAACTCCTCACCAGGCGACCAGCCGTGGAAAGCGGGCGGGTTTCTCAGCGGCAACAGCGACTACCACCTCCCGAGAAGACGCGGCCAGCAGGACGCAGGGGGAGGCGGTGGCAGCGCGTCCCTGCTCCGCGCCCCGTGCGGGGCTCCTGCTGCCGACAGCTGCTGCTCTGACAGAGGCGGCGGCGGCGACAGCACAGAGCACGGAGGGGACCCGGCGAGCCAGTCCACATGCTGCTCTGACGAGGTGGCTGCTCAACCGCGGGCCAGCGATATATTTATTTAAGGACAACTTCCAGGGTCCACCAGGGAATCAGGAATTCCCCCGCCCCTTTCCTCCCGCCCCCTGCCTTCGCGCCTGGCGCCTGCCCGGGGGATGCTCAGGCGCGGGTACCCATCGTCCGGCCGGGGGCGTCCTGGGCTGCTGGCTGCAGTGTGAAGATCCAGCAGCAGCCGCCGCCACCGCCGCTGCTTTGTGGGGAGAGTGGCGGGGAGTCCTTGGGAGCGCCAAAGCGCTGCCCCCGCTGCAGTCGGGAGAGGGCGGAGGAGGAGACGGGCGGGCCGGGGTGAGGACAGGGAGTTGGGGACGCGGCGACCTGTGCTTGAGGAGGGCAGTTAGCGCCTCTGCTGGGAGCTGTGGGCTCGGGGCTGCCCAGGAGGCTCAGGTGTGCTGTGGGGCGAGGCCAGGAGGTGACAGCTGCCGCTGCAGCCGCGGGGGGCTCTCGGGGCTGCAGGACCCGCCTCTCCCACCTCCCGGCCTCAGCCGCCCAGCCCCCCGGTTCTTCTGCCCTATCTCTGAGCCAACTTTCTACTGTTTGGGAGTCACCTGGGAGGACTGGGGAGGCTGTGGTGGAGGAGATGGGCAGGAGGAGGGCGTTTTCTTTACTCTTTCGTTGCCTGCTGGCCTTCAGCTTTTCTTCAGCGCTCTGGCTGACGGCGGCGTTGGCAGAAGCAACAGCTCCCCAGCCGGTTGCAAGAATGAGCTGTGCAGCCACAAATAGGGCAGACAGATTAGATGCGCCGTGGTAGGGAACGCACGGACGAGGAAAGTTTTGGGCAGAAAACTTATATAAGGTATAGAAACGAGACATGCATACGTATATGTGCATATACATGCACGTACCCAGAGTTATGAAGATTCACTTACAAGCCTTTCTGTATCTTAGCGAGGCACATATTTTTGGTCTCTATAAGACCTCTGTGCTTTCAAAACCCCCAATAATCACCCCTCTCAGAAGTGGTTTTTAACGGACCTTATTTCGTTTACCGTAATTTAAGCCACCAGGGAGCGAGCTGCACTGAGAATAAAAAGACCTGGGCAGAAATGTGCTCTGAAAGGAGAAGATAGCCCTCCCAGGGTTTGGAGACACCCTGCACTCTCCTCCACCCCGCGGTTGCTTAATGCGGTTCTGCAATCCATCTCTGCCTCACCTCGCCTTGTCTGTGCCTGGGAGAAGGTAAAGGTTCACCTCCTCTCAGTCTGTTGCTTCAGCGCTGGAATTGAAAGGCTACCGCCAATGCGCTAATTCTCCCCAGTATTGTCCTCTCCTGTCTCCCACAATGCCCCATTCGCATCCCGGTTGACATTGACACAAAAGCAGAAACAGGTTAAAAGGAAAAAAAAACTGTTAATTTAATTTTTCCTATTCAGGCAACTCATAAAATTCTTAAGCAAAAAAGGAACAAAAAAGAATCTAATTATAACTTTTGTAACTACCCAATAAAAGCTTGACTTTTTGTTTACATCATTACAATGGCTTAATATCCTTAATATTTTATTTAAAAAATACATAGATGTACTTCTCATTTTAAAGGTTTTATATAGTCTTTTAAAGTGTTTGCAAAGCTTCTGAGTATATAAGGGAAAAATGCCAATTCCTTGCAAACCTTCAGAATAAAAATTACTGAAACTGGGATAGTGCAATGTAAATCTCAGGAATTGTTTATTTTAAATAAATTGTTGGTAAGAACTTTTGAAATAAAAATAAATTTATAGAGCAGTGGCAGCAGATGCAACAGATCCATCTTCTCCTTTCTATTGATGTATTTAACACCACAACAATGGCATGTTTAACAACGTAGTGTTTGTTCAACTTACAGCTGTAAAGTGTTTCCTGAAGCTGAGAACAAGTAATATTACTAGTGTATAGACATTAGATGTATTTTATACAAAGAAAACAATGTATTTGCAAATAGTAAAACTTCAAAAATAGGTGAAATATTGACCAAAAAATGAATAAAGTGGAATTTTTGAAGAAGATAGTGTGGCTCAGTTGATAGTTACTATTTCACTCTGGATAAATAAATGTAGGTAGCAAACAGCATTGAGGACCAACGCATAAGCAACTTAGAATGGATTAGAAAGATGAATGATGTCATTTCTGTAAATAACAGCCCAAGGGTACTATGTCTTCTTCATTGAGCAAATATACTTCCTAATACTGCTTAATTATTTTTACGAATCAGCCATATTTTTATAAAATGGAAGGATGGATAAGAGTAATCAAAATATAAAATTCAAACACACTATTCTGTTTTATATCTTATTCAAAGTACTTGTTAGCTATCCTGACATTCTTGTTCATTAGACCATTATCCTGTGTCTATTTGAGTTTTTCCCAGAGGAAACAAAATAATCTACTTTTTATAGTAATGTTTCAAAGACTACTGTAATTTTGCTGAATTTCTTAAAAATTTTTAAATTTCGAAATACTTTTCCTTTAGAAATGGATAATACAGAATTTGTTCATTTGCCATATTTTAAGCATTAGATTGTCCTTTTCTTTCTAATTTTTGCCATTCATCTTAAAATATTGAGGCAAAAAATTGGCACAATTGTCACATTTATCTAGTTTTAAGAATAATTCTAAAAACAAACAGAAAATGAAAGCAACTCCCTTCTTTTCCTTGCCAGATTGTGACTGATATCTATCAGTGTGGTGTCGTCATATTTCACAGCTCCCCAGTTTTGCTAGCATATATTTTAGATGTGGCTCACCAAATGTAAATAAAAGAAAGATGTGTATATTTATTTACATAGTTGCTAAAGATATCAAGTTGCTCAGTTGTATTAACTTTTCTCTCTACTAAAAGAGATACTTTCTTTCCAACTCCAGTAATTAAAAATTTTCAGTGAAAAGTGAAAGAAAATTGGAAATATGTCTATGCCAAATGAGTTTTAGATACGAGTAAAATTCTATTACAGCAAACATTATGAAAAGCAAATATCATGTGCAATTTCACAAGGTCCATTTATTTAAAACAATATTTTATCTGATGAGTCCTCATTCCATGGAAGAGGATGTGAATGGCAAAGGGCATGGACTTCAGCCTGCAACCAAGTTGATATTTCCATATATTTCCAGATTCATAGCTGTGTCATAGATGATTGACACAGTGAGAAGTCCTCTCTTCTATTACCTTTATCAACATATCTTAAATACACCCCACACCTCTATATCCCCTGCCTCCACCTTAGTCCAAACCAGTATTATCTTCTGCTTGGGCCATTGCAATATCTGCCTAACCAGTCTTCCTGCCTCCAGTGTTGCCCCCATACACAATTTATTCTTTATATCCAAAGGCCATAGTGATATTTATTTTAATATATTATATCCTAGTACATCGCTATTTAGCCATCCAATGATTTCATATCACACTCAGAATAAAATCCAAACTATACTCTGTTTTAAAAGTCCTGTTCTATCAAGTCCCTGTCTGCCTCCTTCTTCTGCCTTCCCCTGGGAAATCCCTGTGCTCCTCACAGTGTTCCTCAGGCACATGCAGCTTTTCACTGCAGAGTCCCTTTTCCAGCTCTCTTTTTACTAGAAATCCTCCTATCTGCATGTCACAAGGGAAACATATTCTTGTCCTTCAGGTCAGATATAAAGGTTGTCTCTTCAGAGAGGCCCTTCCTTCTGACCAGTGAAGCTAATGGAGCTACTTAGAACCTGGAACTTTTTTTTGTTGTTGTTAAATAAATTAATAGACTTTATTTTTTAGAGCAGTTTTAGGTTTGCAGAAAAATTGAACAGAAAGTACAGAGAGATCCTATATCCCCTTACTGCTCCAGCAGACAGGTTTTTCTATTATTAACATCTTGCATTTATGTAGTACATTGTTACAATTGAAGACCCAATGTTGATATAATATTATGAACAAAAGTTCATGGTTTACATTAGAGTTCACTCTTTGTCTACAGGTTTTGACAAATGTATAACAACACGTATTAACCATTACAGTATCATACAGAATAGTTTCACAGCACTAATATTCCCTGTGCTCCATCTGTTCATCCTTCCCTGTCTCCCTCTGAATCCTTGGCAACCACTGATCTTTCTACTCTTTCCTTAATTTTACCTGTTCAAGAATGTTGTGTAGGTGGAATCATACAATAGTTAGCTCTGTCACACTGGCCTCTTTGATTCAGCAACAGACATTTAAGTTTCTTCCGTATCTTTTTAGTGGCTTGACTATCTCCTTAATTTTTGTTAATGAATAATATTCCACTATGTTAGGGGTTGAATTCTGCACCCCCCACCTAAAATGGCAAAGTCCTTATCACCTGTGAATGCTACCTTATTTGGAAATATGGTTTTTGCAGATGATCAAGTTGAAGTGATGTCATTGGGGTGGACCCTAATCCAAAATGACTCTTGTCATTATCCAAAAAAAAAAAAAAAAAAAGGTTTGGGAAGGATTTGAATGCAGAGACAGAGGCACAAGGAGAATGTCATGCGAAGATTGTAGTCCTTATGCCATGAGCCAATGCCATGAACCAAAGAATGCCAGAAGATTGCTAGCAAACCATCAGATGTTAGGAAAGAGACAAGGAACAAATTATCCTTCAGAAGAACCAACCCTGCCAATACCTTGATTTCAGACTTCTAGCCTCCAGAATTGTGTTACAATTAATTTCTGTTGTTTAAGGCACCCAATTTGTGATACTTTGTTACAGCATCCCTAAGAAACTAATGCACCACAGTTTATCTATTTACCTACTGATTAATATTTTGGTCACTTTGAAGTTATGGCAATTATGAATAGAGCTGCTATAAAACATTCATATGCTAGTTTTTGTGTGGACATAAGTTTTCAACTTATTTGGCTAAATGCTAAGAAATACAATTGCTGAATCTTAGGTTTAGTTTTGTAAAATATTGCCAAATTGTCTCCCAATGTGACTGTGCCATATTTCAATCCCACCAATAGTGGATGAGAGTTCCTTTTGTTCCATGTGCTCATCAACATTTATTGTTGTCAGTGTTTTGGATTTTGACAATTTAAATGGATATGTAATAGCATTGCACTGTTGTTTTAATTCACAATTTCCTAATGACTTATGATGTTGAACATCTCAATATGCTTATTTGCCATCTATATATCTTTTTTGCTGAATTATCTGTTCATGTCATTTGCCCATTTTTAATTAAGTTGTTTGTTTCACTGTTGCTAACTTTTAAGAGTTCTTATATTTTAGATACCAATCCTTTATCAGATATGTTTTGCAATTATTTTCTCCACGTCCATGGTTGATCTTTTCATTCTTTCAACTGTGTCTTTTGCAGAGCAGATATTTTTAATTTGAGTTCAACTTACCAATTTTCTCTTTCCTGAATCATGTTTTCAGTGCTCTATTTAAAAAGTCATTACCAGACCCAAGGCCAACTAGATTTTTCTCTGTATTTTCTTCTAGGGTCTTATGGTTTTGCCCTTAAAAGTAAAGGGCAAAGTCTATTATCCTTTTTGAGTTAAATTTTATAAATGTGGAAAGTCTGTGTCTAGATTCTTTTTCAATTTTTTTCACGTTGATCCAGTACCATTTGTTGAAAAGACTATACTTTCTCCATTAAACTGCCTTTCCTCTTTTGTCCAAGATCAATTGACTGCATTTGTGTGAGCTATTTCTGGGCTGTATTCAATTCAATTGATCTATTTGTCTATTCTTTCACAAATATCATACTGTCTTGATTACTATAAAAACTTGTTTAGCAGCTTAAACTACTGTATATTTTAATATTTGCTTGTACATTTATGTATTGACTTATTATTTTTGAATTACAAGTCCATGAAAGCAGAGAATTTCTCTATTATGTCCACTTCTATGGTTCCAACACCCAAAGCAATATGGGGATATATATGTGTGTATATATACATATATGTATATATATGAACACACATATATAGGACAAATTCTGAAATTTAGGTTATGATATTTTTGCCTTTTTACATCTGCATCCTATGAAACATCTAATCAAATTCCACTGATTCTACTATTTAAACTCTATTTAAGCTAATTCCACTATTATTAAATTCTCACTTTCTCTATTTAAAGTCTCAACTTCTCCTCCCAGATATGATGCTTTATATCCTGCCACTTAAAAAATGAATTATTGTAAAAACTATGCATTCAATTACATTAAAGTTTTTATTACTTGGTAGTCAGAGATTTGGCATTCTTAAGTATGTATCATCCAAAAGGGACCTTCGTTGTCCCTTAAACTATTGAACCTGTCAGGCAAAAAACTCTGGTAGGTACAGCTCATAAATTTAAAAAAGGGAGACCTTAGATCAGGCTCTCACACTAGGCACCAACAGAACTGGGCTGGTATTATGAACCTGTGAAGTAGGTTGGTGTAGGAAGCAACAGGGACCATAGTAGGCATCTCATGGGAGTAGCTACCATGCAGCCTAAGGTATATGAGATCTCAAGCAAAATGTTGCAGGATCCTCCTACTACTTTAAAAGAAATTAAAAATCCAGATTTTTCTATAAATCCTCCTAATATTTAAATACTGGTAACTAACAGAGCATCTTTTTTTTTTATACTGTGGTTTTTCTTTTGATCACAAATGAAAAAGCAAACTGCACTGGGAAAACATGCAGACAATATAGAGATACAATAAAGAATTTATGCCTTGAATATAAAGAACTTATATCTTGAATATAAAGAACTCCTACAAACCAATAACAAAGAAAAACATTAAAAAAGAAAAGAAGAATTTCAAAGGCACTTCACAAAAGAGGATATTGAAACTCTTAATATGAAGCATAAGAAAAGATGCTCAATATATTTTTTCATCAGAGAAATGCAAATTTAAAAAGCAATGACAAATCTCAACCCACCCTTCAGAATGATTAAAACTAAAAAGACCAAACTACAAAATGATGACCAGGATCTGGAATTATCTCACATTGCTGGTGGGAGTTTAAATTGGAAAAACATGCTGTATGATAGATCTCTTGAAGTTAGTCCTCCTATCTAAAACTCTGTATCCTTTGACCAACATCTCACCAACTGCCCACAACCACTACCACTCCAGCCTCTGGTCACCACTTTTCTACTCTCTACTTTTATGAGATCAACATTTTTAGATTCCACATGTTAGTGACATCACGTGGTATTTGTCCTGTGCCTAGCTTATTTCCCTTAACATAATGTCTTCCAGATTTATCCATGTTGTCACAAATGACAGAATTTCCTTCTTTATTATGGCTGAATAATATTCCACTGTGTATGTGTAACACATTTTCTTTATCCATTCATCCACTGACAGACACTTAAGTTGATTCAATTTCTTGGTTACTGTGAATAATGCAATAAACATGTGAGTGCAGTTACCTCTTTAACATACTGATTTTATTGCCTTTGGATGTATATACCCAGGACTGGGATTGCTGCATCATATGGTAGCTCTATTTTTAATTCTTTGAGGAATCTCCATGCTGTTTTCTATAGTGGCTGTACTAATTTCCATTCTCGCCAACAGTGTACCTTTTCTTCACATCCTCCCCAACACTTGTTATCTTATGCCTTTTTTGTTAATAGTCATTCTAATAGGTGTAGGTGATATCTCATGGTGGTTTTAATTTGCATTTCCCTGATGATTAGTAAGGTAAAGCCTTTTATAAATCTACCTGTTGATTATTTGTATGTCTTCTTTTGAGAAATGTCTATTCAAATACTTTGCCAATTTTTAATCAAGTTATTCGGGTTTTTTTCCTATTAAGTTGAATTCCTTATATATTTTGGATATTAAGTTTTTATCAGACATACGGTTTGCAAATATTTCTCTCATTCCATAGGTTGTCTCTTTACTTTTTAATTATTTCCTTTGCTGTTCAGAAGCATTTTAGTTTAATGTAATCCCATTTGCCCATTTACTTGTTGCCTGTGCTTTGGGGGTTATAGCCACAAAAATCATTCCCCATATCAGTGCCACAGAGCTTTTCCCTTACGTTTTCTTCTGGTAGTTTTATATTATAGTTTTGGGTCTTACATTTACTAATCTGATTTTTTTTTATATAATATGACATAAGGATCTAATTTCAAATTTTAGTATTGACAAATGCTGAGAATGGGTTTTAAATATTCTTACCACAAAAATGATAACTGAGGTAATGCATATATTAATTAGCTCCTTTTAGCATTCCATAATGTATTTCTATTTCAAAATATTATGTTGTATACAACAAGTATATACAATTTTGTAAATTTAAATAAAATAAAATTAAGAATGAAATGTTAAAAATAAACTGAAATCTTCCTGGTCCTCTTTTCTCAATAAATTAATTGCTGTTATAGAAAAAATACTTAAGTTGGAAAAACTCATTTGAGAAACTGCTTGGCAATATCTAGTAAAGCTAAACTTATATTATCTATTCCATGACCAGCAATCCTTTTCCTAGAAAAACAGTAAACATAAATGAGTGTTTATACCCACTAAAGGCACACATAGGAATATTTATAGCTGCTTTATTCCCAATAGCCAAAATTTGGAACAATGCAAGTGTCCATGATCAAAAGAGGGGAAAAATAAAATGTAATATATCAATCAAGGGAATATTACACAGCAATATAAAATAAAACTTGCTTGCAATGTTCATATCTTAACACATATTAATATCCTAGACATAAAAATAAGCAAAAGAATTGAGACACAAATGGCTACAAACTGTCATTTCATTTACATACAATTCAAGAACAGACAAAAATAATTTATGTTGATGGAAGTTGGGATAGCTGTTATTTCTTGGGTGGGGTATATTGACTAGGAAGAGATAGGGCTATACTGACTAGGAAGATATAAGAGAGTGTTCTTGAATGCTGTCAATGCTCTGTATGTTTATCTTGGGGGTGTGTGTGTGTGTCTGTATAAAAACTCTTTGAGAGGTACACTGAAGAGTCAATGAGATAGCAAGACCCATCCAACAGAATGGCTACAATTAAAGAGACTAACAGTACTAAGTGTTGGCAAGGATGAAAAATAATTTAAACTTTCATATAGCATGTACTGAGATTAGTGCAAGTATTCCAGAAAACTGTTGACAACATCTCCTAGAGCTGAATACTCATATACCCTATGACCCAGCAATTCCATGCCATGTGTGCATGCAGGTGATCACCAAAATACACATATAAGAATGTTTATTGAAGAAGTATTCATAGAAACCTCAAAATGGAAACAATCCAAATGTCCCTCAACCATAGCATGGATAGAAACTGTGGTCTATTCATATAGTAAAATATTAGATAACAATAAAAGCAAGTAACTGCTACACAAAAGAAAATGAATGAATTTCATGGACATGAAGTTGAACAAAAGAAACAAGGCACAAAGAAGGAACAATATGCTTAGAGTCATTCAAGCTGAGAATAGAGTTCATGTCCCACTACCTGATTCTCTGGTGTTTGTTTTGTTTTATTTCCTCATGACCAATCTAAGTTTATGTATTTATTTATGCCATCTCTTGCCACAAGCAAAGAGATGGAAGATCAGTACAGATACTACTTAACTTACAATGGGGTTATGGCCTGAGAAACTCATCCTAAATTGAAAATATTGTAAGTCAAAAATGCATGTAACACACCTGACTTACCAGACATAGCCTAGTCTGGCCTACCTTACATGTGCTCGGAACACTTGCATTAGCCTAGAGTAGAGCAAAATCATCTAATATGATGCCTATTTAATAATAAAGTATTGGCTGTATCATGTAATTTATTGAATACTGTTCTGAAAACAAAGACCAGAATAAGTGTATGAATGTTCAAAGCACAGTTTCTACTTAATGGTATCACTTTCATAATATTATACATTTGAAAGTAAAAAGATTTTAAGTCAAACCATCCTAAGTGGGGGACCATCTGTATACTGGTCACCACTTGATACAAGTAAAGAAAATGGGCACAAGGTCCCATATACTTTTCTAGCCCATATAGAAAGTCGTGGTCCAAATCAATGCTATCCCCTTTACAGCCAATCAGAAGCAGATTCATATAAGGGTTATGGAATAGAATTTGGTTACAGTCTCACCAGGGAAAGAGCCTAGATCTGATGCAGAGATAGGGTAGGTAATGTTCCTGGATCTCAGAGTTCTTCACAGGGCTGCTTCAGGAAAGTATTAAGCATGCTCACTTTCCCCTAGGAAAGTGCAACAGATAGGTGAGGCCCTTCCACATGTAAGCTGAGCCCTCTTCCCCGGGGTACTACTGGACATAGATCTCCTCAGCTGTAGCTGGGACCAAGCCAGCAAGCCAGAAATTCAGGACCCAGCCACTGCCATTCTTGACCTGGACTACACAGCACTGGAAACCAAAATAGTTCAGTGTTTTAAAAGTTTTGTCAGATGTATCTATAAAAGAGACTACAATATGAAAAGCTATGAAAATTTTAAAATAACTTAATTGAACAAAATACTTTTTTGAGAAAGTCTTCAGAAACTACATATTTTAATCTAGTTTTTGTTTTTCCCTAACAGTTCTAAATTCTTTCACTCTAGGCTGCCTTATTAGCTTACTGATTGCACTCTTTCTTCATAGCGACCATTTTTCATTTTTGATAGATCTGTTCTGTTTTACCCTAATATTTAACTGAACAGAGGTTTAAAACTTTGAAATAAGAAAAAACAATGTTTTGCAATTGCCTAATGTCTAACTCAGTTTAGGTTCCAAATAGAACTAAGAAAGGAAGGAAGGAGAGAAAGAAAGAAGGGAGAGAGGGAGGGACCAAGAAAAAGAGAAGGCATTTTTAGCAGCAATTTGAAAATCCTTAAGATAGTGATGTGTACTCCTGAAATGAACCCAACAGGATTAAAAAGTGGAGTGAGAGTGCCTGTACAGTACTGAGGTCCCTAAGCAAAAGAGGGACCTGTAGAGTCCTGAGGTCCCTATGCAATATTTTTAGTACTGCCCCCTAGCAAATCAAGTAACAAAGACAGGGATGATGATTTAATCAAAGTCAAGAAAAGAATTTAGGATGAGGTTTTCTCAGACTTAGTTTCAATTACTTATTTTGCAAAAGCATATCAGTTAAGTCAGACAGTAAAGTTGTACAGTGATAGCTGAGAACACATGGCAAATGATAAGAAACAAAACTGATTTCATGAGTTTATATGCCTTGAAATTTTAAAAGAAAAGTTTCAGTTCAATGATTTGGATTCATTAAGCCTACATCATCAAGAAGCCATTGATCCTGACTGATGTTTCTCTGAGTCATCAAGAGAAAGACACTGCCTTTCCAAAATAATTCATGGATTCACAACCAAGCAAATAAGACCTATCTATAAATCTCCAATAGTAGAGCACCCAATCCCATTCCACACGCCTCCCTCTCCTCAAAGAAGAATTCCATAAGCACAGGAGGTAGAGAAAGACTTCAGATGACAGAATGATAAAGAAAGAAAAACAGGAGTCCCTGCTGTTTACACAGCACTTATGTGTTCTCATTTCACCGTTTGCAAAGTTATGGTGCCAGCTTGACAAAACCATGGAGAGAGAAGAGGGCTCAGCTCCCAGCAAATGCCAAGCAATGTGATCACCACCGTGTCTGCTGGCTCAGAGAAACCCAGTGAAGTCTGGAAGGATGGCGGTATCATTCACTGCGGCTTGGACCCTCTTCTACTTTTCCTGGACCCTTCCCATGTCATATTCAAGGGAAGGAACCATTCATTTAAAGACAAAGTGTATATTCCAAATTTATAATTTCTGATTTCCAGATGCCACACTTAGTTTAAAACACAACCTAATTGAATATACTTCTCACATTTAAAATAAATTTCAGTACACTGGGGCTATTATACAATCTGTTCTTATTACCTTGAAGATAATACAAGGCTTATAGCTTCTCAAGACGAGCAGACAGAAAATTTTCTTTTTTGTCTTTCCCTCAATTCCACACACCACATTGGAGAAAAAGAAAATATACCTACCTTCATCAAGCTTAACATCCTCTTCAGGAAAAATCACAAGTATAGATATTTTTTATTAAACTAGAGACATGTGAATCAAAGGTAATGCATAATTCTGGGTTGGATCCTAGAGGTTTTTTAAATCAATAAAAAATATTTGGGGACAATTGGAGAAATTTGAATTGAAATAATATTAGGTATATTTTATCAATTTTAAATATTTTGGATGGCACTGAGGTCATGCAGGAGAATTTTCTTAGGAGATACAAGCTGAAATATTTTGGAGTGAAATGTCAAAATACTTGTAATTTACTTTCAAATGAATCCGAAGAAAAATGTGTCTATGTGTGTGAGAGAGAGACAAAGCAAATGGTGTAAATGTTAATAATCACTGAATCCAGGTGAAGGAGATAAAAGTACTTACTATGTTATACATACTTTTTTGTCAGTGGAAGAAAATATGAGGCCACGTAATGCAGCTTGCAGTTGCAACAGCATTTACAACATTATCTTATTAATACATTTTCTAAGAGGAAGAAAAGTGCAAGAGTTGTAGCCTAAAACCAAAAGTCATGTGATCAGAAAAATAAAACAATTCACACATGCCAGTATGCCCCTAAATGAGTTCTCTTTTTGAACTTTAAGGAAAAGAAAGTATACATAAAAAAAAAAAACAAGAAGAAAACCCCCCAAATATCAGAGGACTGTAGTCTTTTGCTTAAAGGGAACTGTAACACAAGAGGGTCTCAGAAATAGTATTTGGTTACAGACAGGATGAGCTATATAATTTTAGGAGCCCAATGCGAAATGAAAAGGAGGTTTCTTTAATTAAAATATTATTAAGAATTTCAAGAAAGTAATAGCAGAACATTAAAGTGTGGGTCCCTTCAGAGCGTGGATTCCTGGGCAACCACATTGGTGGCATGCCCATAAAGCCCACCCTTATTACAAGTAAAAATACTGAATATGCCACAGTTCTCTTCTTATAATTATAAAAAATCCATAGCCACTCAGCCAAAATAAAGGCTGTATTAAACCACTGTACATGTGTCAAGAACCAAAGTTGAAATAAATGAGCTTTATAATACATTCATTCAATATATAAGTTCTATAATTTTAGCAATATTATTTTGAGTTAATAGCATTTATTATACTATCTTTTGTATTCTAAATATAAACTCATATATTAACTATTCATATCACATGACCCAAGGCTTTTATATTTTAGACTATATGGGAGACTTATAAAAACACTTATGCTGTCAGCCACATAAAACATTATGTGTGAGTTGTAAAATGGATTTGATTTTCTCAAAAGCATTCACCCTTTGAAAGTAAAGAAACTGAGATTGTAATCTAGCAATTTAACAACAACAAACATGAATTTTTACTATGTTTAGTTTCACATCTTCAATTACTCATAGATGAACTGATTTATAATGTTTGCATTTGTCTTGTCAAATTGTCTTGATCTGGTAATTTGCCTCATGACCTTGTGCAGTTTGTAGAAAGAAGTGGAACGTTAAGCCTTTGTCCTAGAAAACTCAAGACTGGGGTAAACAAATCAAATTAACAAACACTGGCTAATAAGTTTATCTTATTACGAGTTCACATAGTTGTTTAATGTCACAAAATCGCAATGAATCATTTTTTAATGTTGAAATGCTTACCCTGTGAAGTGTTATTTTATGAGGATAATTTTTCATCTCCTTCTACCTGGTAAAACTATTTCCTTAATTATCATTAATCATGCTTCATGCAAATCAACTACACAGGCAAATCGCCAACACAAAAAATATCCTATGAAAATTTAAATCTTTTTTTTTTTTTGCAAAATTCTTTCATTATGAATTAGATCATATTGGTTATAAGTCACAATATCTAATTAACTTCCAGATATAAATGTAGTTCCATTCCTCCAAAACAAAGCTGTATTTCCTGACTTCTTGCAATATTAGAACATTTCCCTTTAACTCCTGAGCTTTGTAAGATATTTTATCTTTTGTTGTAGGTTGCTAGACTCCTATGTTAAAAGAATGGCAGAATATAAAACCCATACAATTTTCAGGGATGATAGCCTGACATCCGGTGATATTTCAAGTAAGCCAAAATTCCTACAAAATACCTGTATATTCGAATTTAAAAACAAAAAAAGCCCCTAATATAGTACAGTAATATTAATTTTCATTTTATCTTAACCAATAAATAATCACATATTTCTTAGTTCCCATTTGAAAACACCTGTTTTAGTATGAAAATACTCCTTGGATATTTTCTGATTCTTCTATAATGCAAATATTGACTATTGACTAATATATTTTAAAGGTACTCTCACATAAGTTGCTCTGTGGGGTTGGCACACTACCCATTAAAATAGTCCTTAATTATTTTCTTGCCAATTCACAAAACTTTTTAAAATGCAAAAAAAAAGATATTATTTTTTAAATGTTTAATAGCATAACTGTGAGGTGGGGCTGCCGACTCTGCCAGATATCAAGTCACATTTTAAAACAGTGATAATCAAAACAGCATGCTGTTAGAACAAAAATAAGTGTGATGATAAATAGAACATAGTGAAAATGCCTGAACAAAACTATAGAAAATTTTTTAGACATAGGCAACATAAAGTAACAGAGAAGGACTACTAATAAATAAAGATTATTAATTAGCAATCTGTGGAAATTGACCTTATATCAATCTAAATTCTTTATAGACTAATAAATTGAGTAAAAACAAATCATAGGAAATTTAAATAGATAAAGATCACCAGAGGGACGATCTATCTGCAATAAAAACACAATTTATTCAAATTAAGCCTCCCAAAAATAAGTAGACAAAAATAAATTACATTAAATGAGTTTAAAGCTATTTAGGAACTTATATAAACTTCAATTCTGAGACAGAAGCAATGCAATTAAACTAATCTTATGGTGGAATTCTATTACTTTTATATTAAAAATACTGATGTTAATATCAAAATACAACAATGATAATGAACTTGAGGTAAAACCGGTTTACTCTTATACTCTGATGAAACTGTCTTCATATAACCCTTATAAAAGGCAAACTGCAATCTGTATGAAGACTAGATTTATTTCCACAATTTCCCTGAATACCCACATTTCTGGGAAATTTATGTAACTGAATAATTTAGCTGCAGAGAAATCAATATGTATAAACATAACAATAAAAAATTAGAAATATATACAAGGTTTAATGATGGAAGAATGGTTAAATTAATAATTTTGCATTCATTATAGTATTAACATTATTTGCATCCATTGTAGCCTTAACAATCTCACTTAACACTTTTTAGGAAAATTGGCAACATGATAAAATAAGAGAATCTCTAGAAAGTGTTGTCAGACATTCTCTAATAAATATTAAAATTGATAACATTTGATTCTAAGATTGTCATTATAATCTTGGTTAAGAAGCAGTAGGGATTATCATCTGTGCTTAGGCTTTGAGAAATGTCATTCAACAATATGTTTCAAAACTTATAAAAACAAGTGTATTCATTCATAGAGGAGGTTGCAGTACTTTTTAAAAGACCACAAAATATGTAATAATTCAAAAACAATAGAAGTTTATTTTTTAGTCAACTAGTTCCTGAAATGGGGTTATAGCCAAAACTAAATAAATGTAGATACAGCTACAGATATAGATTCATACAAACATGAAGATATAATTAAATTAAAAAATACAGAGGCTGGGTGCAGTGGCTCACGCCTGTAATCCCAGTACTTTGGGAGGCCGAGGCAGGTGGATCACAAGGTCAGGAGATTGAGACCATCCTGGCCAACATGGTGAAACCCCGTCTCTACTAAAAATACAAAAATTATCTGGGTGTGGGGCCGCATGCCTGTAATACCAGCTACTCAAGAGGCTGAAGCAAGAGAATCACTTGAACCCAGGAGAGGGAGCCTGCAGTTAGCTGAGATCGCTCCACTGCACTCCCGGCTGGCCACAGAGCGAGACTCCGTCTCAAAAAACAAAACAAAACAAAACAAAACAGATGTATGTGTCTCCAGATTGGCTTTCTTTTTTAAAAGAATTTCAGGTGATTCATTTTTCTTTTAGTTTATTTGTATTTTCTACAATGACTAATACTTTCTTAAATCATTAAGATTAAAAAATTAAAAAGTGGTAAATTAAAACATACGTTAAAACATTGAAAAAACTTATTTAATATGCTAAGATTAAACACAATCTGCAGTTGTTAAGTACATCATGATTACAAGTATGTATTTATACATTCACATGTATATATACACACATATACACAAAGATTATAAAGGCATTTGTATAAATATGTAGTTGTGTTAAGTTTTTGATATTACAATTACTTTTCCGTCTTTTAAAATGTTAGGTCATTTTAACAATTTTTAAAGAGAAATCTTTAAAATGAGAAGAAAAGCATTCTTTTAAATCTAACTGTAATTTGCTCTAAGAACTGGGCTGCAGAATTATTCTGAGAGACAGAAATACTGTTTTTATTTTTAAATTAAATCAAAAACTTATTTGATTGATTGTCTCTGTTAAAGCTGAGAAAACTGGAGTCTGTTTAGATTATGTCGTGCATTGAATGATGGCTCCCCAAAAGATATGCCTAAATCCTAATTCCCAGAACCCGTGAAGGTGACCTTACTTGGATAAGGGATCTTTGTAGATGTAATTAGATTAGGGGTCTTGGCATGAGATCATCCTGAATTACCTGAGTGGGCCCTGAATGCAACGAAGTGTCCTTGTAAGAGAAAGGAGAAGACACGCGGAAGAAGAGCCACATGAACACGGAAGCGGAAATCAGTGATGCAGCCACAAGCCAAGGAGAATCAAAGAACGCCTGGAGCCACAAGAAGCTGGAGGGAGGCAGAAAAATGAATCTTCTCTAGAGCCTCTGAAAAGAGCATGGTCTTCCTGACACCTTGATTTCAGATTTCTGGCCTCCAAAACTGAGAAAAATAAATTTCTGTTGCTTTAAGCCACCCAGTTTGTAGTAAGTTGTTAAGGAAGCCATGGGAAACTAACACACAGTGGTTATACAAAATGAAATAAATTTTTCTCCATAATGAAGTATTAAGAATATAAAATATTTTCCTGGTCACTGAAGAACATGCTTTGGGGTCCCTGAATGGGGAGGAGAGGTGCGGGAAACAGTCACCAGGAAAAAAATAATCTAGCACAAATTGGCAAGCAGGACTAAGGAGGGTCTGACCAAGAAGCTCTAAACTAAATAACTTAGTTTTACTTGTACATTTTCTCCCTGTGCTGTTCTGAGCTTACGCTCCATCTTTTATCCCCCATTCTTCAGTAAAAGTTTATTCTTAAAAGAACAGTGCTTTAGAGATTGAATAACCAGCATCTGTGTTTCATGCCAGGGATGAGAGGAGAAAGCAATGTTGAAAAGGCTAGAAACAGAGAAGGAGAGCGGAATTCAGCGGCACCATGAAAATAGCAATGAGCAGTGAGCAGAATCAAACCTATTAAGGGATTTGGAGGAGGCAGGGGATGGGGCTTCAACAAATGCATTTGGATAATTAGAGAAGTGAGACTCCAAAGACTACTGAACTTGGCCACACACAAGCAATAGAGGTTTGGATTAAATTACAGGAGAGGTCAATTTTAGCCAAAGTAAAATTTTAAGTTCCTTTTAAAATCAGCTATGTAGGGCTACATCTCTGACCTTTTGTTTTCTCTTCTTCCTCCATCTCTTCCGTGTCACGATGTGGATTTTTCTTACCAGGCTGTAAGATAGGAATAGCCAAGTTAAATTAAGTAGAGTAAACACCAAGAACTTGCTACCCCACCCCAGGGTTGTTAATGTGAACAAACTATTAAAACAGAGATCATGAGGACTCAAAGTGAGAAAAAACAATTAACACAACAATCTTTAAAACATCAAAGAGGTTTGTCTTTTTGTGCCTGGCTAATTTCACTTAACATAATGACCTCCAGTTTCATCCATGTTGTTGTAAATGACTGAAGGATAGTTATCAGAGGCAGGAAAGGGTAGTGGAGAGCTGAGGGGGAAGTGGGGATGGTTAATGGGTACAAAAAAATAGAATGAATGAATAAGGCCTAGTATTTGATAGCATAACAGGATGACTACAGTCAATAATAATTTAATTGTGCATTTTAAAATAAATAAAAGAGTATAATTATATTGTTTGTAACACAAAGGATAAATGCTTTAGGAGATGAATACCCCATTTACCCTGATGTGATTATTACTCATTGCATGCCTGTATCAAAACATCTCATGTACCTCATAAATATGTACACGTACTATGTAACCACAAAAATTAAAACTAAAGTATTATAAAATTAAAAAATATCAACAAGGGTGAACAAAAGGAGAGTGGTGCAAGCGAGAAAGGAAGACAAGCCGGTGAAAAATGGTCAGAGGGGTGAAAAGATAGGAAGATAAAAGAATAAAATAGTGATGAGTATGTTTCAATCAAATAAATAATGAGGTAAGAAGAAGATGAAAGAAATGGGGAAAGAATTTAGCAGGAAAGGGAAGTAGAAAAAGCTTTGAATGCAGAACACAATATCACCATAACAAATCAGATTATATTAAACATGAGTGCTTTTAGAGCATATATAAAATCATTTCAACTTTCTGACTTTAATTAGAGGATAGTATAATCAATTTAAATTTTAATTTAAATGACACTTTCCAAAGATCATAAAATTTTAGAGTCAACAAAGATTTATTACACTCTGGGAGAAGTTAGAAATTTGGAAATGCATTAATTCTCTTATGACATTTGGAGTAGTTACAAAGCCAGTTGTTTGGTAAATAACTCCATGACCTAAAAGAGCTCATTTATTTTTCAAAGTGAATATTCACTCTAAGGGAGCATCTTTCATAAAAGGAAGCTCCAATTCAGGTTTTAGGAAGAAAGGCTAATGATGAAACAGCACTTTAGTGCTTCTATTTTGAATAAATTATTAGCCTTTTCCAGTTCCAACATTAATTTTGTTATTTATGTGAATTAATATAAACTGAAGAAAAACTATCTAATGTTATTAATTCGAAAAATGTGGCTTTGGAAAACTTTTAGTCTTCCATTTTAGTTTTATAGGAAAGAAGTTCTCAAAAAGATGAAATGTGAAGGTGATGAATATGTAATAATGTTTTCATACACTTGCCAATTTAATATGTTTGCATAAATATTTAATACATCAATATTTTCAAGAAGAACATGTTCTGCATTTCAATGTGTCTTTTCTTTTTCATTAGATTGGCCTATTTCTAAAGTCCCCAGAGAAAATTGTATTATTTGGTGGACATTTCCAAAACAGGGATCAAACCTCCTTATTTTGTGAGTGCATAAGAAAATGTAATTTTTATCTGGACTCCATGCAGTCTCATTATTATACATATGTGTACATGATTTGTAAGAGTAAAATCTGCTTTAGTTGATTTGGCATTATATAAAATTATGAAAAACATAATTTGAATCAAATATTAAGAGTGAAGCAAGTGTGTTGAAAGTACCTTAAATTTCAATCAAAGAAGAAATGTTTGTGGCTAATTCCTGACATTACAACTTTGTCCAGGTTTGAGGTACTTGCATAAAGTATGTAAACTTTTATCTTGAAATTTAATTTAACTCTATTAAATTGTTCTCATTTTAAGGTTCTATTCAGCTAAACACAATTCTTTATTAAACTGCTCTCCCTAAATCTCATTCAAATTTAACTACTTTTCCAATATACCTTCTCAAGTCATAAATATGCCTGACTACTCCACACATAGTTCCTCTCAATGACACCTTGAATCTGTTAGTTGATTTCTTTTTCTTTTCTTTCTTTTTTTTGGAGGGGGCGGTGGGGACAGAGTCTTGTTTTGTCTCCCACGCTGGCATACAGTGGCGTGATCTTAGCTCACTGCAGCCTCAAACTCCTGGGCTCAAGCAATCCTCCCAACCCAGCTTTCTGAGTATCTGGGACTACGGGTGTGCACCAACAGACTCAGCTAACTTTTAAAATTTTTGTGAAGGGGAGGTCTTGCTATGTTTCTCAGGCTGGTCTCAAACTCGCGGCCTCAAGCAATCCTCCTGCCTGGGCCTTCTAGTTTCTTTCTTTACACGTGCTCTTTGAGGTGATATTTTACATATATGTACTTGCTGCCTTAGAAAAACCATCTAATTTATCTCTGATGTTACTATTCTTGTCTCATGTTTCTATATACGTCTTTTACTGGTGTACATATCAAAATTTTTATAAAACAAAACTGCTGACCAGGAATCAACTACTGAGGATCTGCCTAGGACTTACCAAGCTTATGAGGCAGTAGTCTTTCAGCTTTCAATTTTCCTGCAAGTCCTCAAGGTCTAGCAAGACATAGTCGACCTTCCCAGGACTCTGCACAAGCAGGTTAGCATGACTTTTCTCCAGCAGGGAAATCACAAGTACACAAAGGCTAATCACCTCTAAGAGTGGCAGAGAATACATGCTATCTCTTTAGACAGACAAATGATTGGGAGTAGAAGAGTTGATAAACACTCAAGCTGTCATTTTCTTCAGAGTCCCCTAGCAAAAGTTTTAAGTTAGTAGTTGTAAAATTTCAAGACATGAGCACTACAGGTGTAGAACATAAGCTCCTCTGGGGATGAAGATTTTTGTCTAGTTTACTATTCCTCTGTGGTTAGAAAAACGGTCCTCCTGCATGCTAAGTGTTCAATAGTTAATTGTAAAATAAATGAATCAGAGGAGGACAATAATTTTAAAAGGAAAAAAAGTGACCAGTTTTTTTAATGTTCCATTTACATGATTGAATAATGAAATGAATTGTTCAATGGGTGAAGCGCATCAGGATTGGACAGGCCTAACCCCAGAGCACATTTGGCAAAATTATGGGGACTTGCTCTTCTCTGAGAATATGCTACCAAACAACAATCTTCTATTACCTTATACTCTGACAGCCTTGGTTTTCTATCACAGTAGTCAACAAACATTTCAGTGTGAAAATAGAAGAAAACACAATATATGGAGTTTTCTCAAAAAAATTAGTAGAATTACCACTACCATATGATCTAGCATCACACTTCTGAATATCCATCCAAAAGAATTGAAATCAGGATCTTAAAGAGACATCTGAAGCCGCATCAATATTCACAACAGCCAAGATGTAGAAACAACCCAAATGTCATAAACAGATGAATGGATAATTGTATTCTCAACTTTTGTTTTAGATTCAGGGATACATGTGCAGGCTTGTTATGTAGGTATATTGTGTGATGCTGAGGGTTGGGGTAAAAATGATCCATCACTCAGGTAGTGAGCATAGTACTCAACCCCTCCCTCCCTCCCAATTCGAGAAGCCCGAAGTGTCTATTGTTGCCATATTTATGTATATAAGTACTCAATGTTTAGCTCCCGCTTATAAGTGAAAAGGCACAGTATTTGGTTTTCTGTTCCTGTGTTAATTTCCTTAGGATAATGACCTCCAGCTACATCCATGTTACTGCAAAGGACGTAATTTATTCTTTTTTTATGGCTACTTAGTAATTCATGGTGTATATGTACCAGATTTTCTTCATTCAATCCACCAACAATGGGCACCTAGGTTGATTCCATGTCTTTACTATTGTGAAAGTGCCGTGATGAATGTATGAGTGCACGTGTCATTTTAGTAGAATAATTTATTTTCTTTTGTATATATACCCAGTAATGGGATTGCTGGGTCAGAGAGTAATTCTGTTGTAAGTTCTTTGAGAAGTCTCCAAACTGCTTTCCACAGTAGTGGAACTAATTTACATTCCCACCAACAGTGTATAAGCATTCCCTTTTCTCCTTAGCCTGGCCAACACCTGTTGTTTTTTGACTTTTTGATAAAGTCATTCTGACTGGTGTGAGATGGTATCTCACTGTGATTTTGAAATACATTTCTCTGATGATTAGTGGTGTTGGGCATGTTTTATATGTTTATTGACCACTTGCCAGTCTTCCTTTGAGGAGTGTTTGTTCATGTCTATTGCCCAATTTTTAATGGGATTATTATTTTTTTTGCTTGTTCAATTGCTTAAATTCTTTACAGACTCTGGATATTGGTCCTTTGTTGGATGCACAGTTTGTGAATATTTTCTCTCAGTCTGTAGGGTATATTTTTACTCTCTTAATAGTTTATTTTGCTGTGCTGAAGCTCTTGAGTTTAATTAGGTTTCATTTTTCAGTTTTAATTTTTATTACAATTGCTTTTGAGGACTTAGTCATAAATTATTTCCCAAGGCCGATGTCCAGAATGATGTTCACTAGGTGTTCTTCTAGGATTCTTGTAGTTTGAGGTCTTACATTTACATCTTTAATCCCTCTTAAGTTAACGTTTGTATGTGGTGAAAGCAAGGGTCCAGTTTTGTTCCTTTGCATATGGTCTTTATTGCAACTACTGAATTCTGCTGCAGGATGAAAGCAGCCCTAGACAATGCATAAAAGAATGAGTGCCACTGCATTTTAATAAAACTATTTACAAAAACAAGCAGCTGTCCAGAATGGGACCATGGGTTACTGTTGGCCAAATCCTGTATCATAACACATAAAAATTCAAAATATAACAATATTTTCTATTACAATTTCACATTTGAAACACATGGGGCCATCCCTAATTTACTACTTGTTCATATTCTCTCTCCCTCCTCCCTTTCCCTCCTCTCCCAATCTCTCTCTCCCACCCTCTGTTCCAATCTCATCTCTCTCTTTCTCTCTCTCTCTTCCCCACTCTATTCCCAAGTGTTATGGGAACAACCTACCCCAGTGGGTAGGAATTTTGTCCAGCAGTATAATGAACTGTTAATTCTCCTATCTAAACTCAGATGTTCCTGAGTTTACTGGATATCATGCACTATTCACCGATACCATCCACTTATTGTCTACTCAGAGGCATAACTCCCGCATTTGTCCCCTTTCTTTCTCTCTTCCTTCATTATCTGCAACATTGATATTCCTTAGGACTCTTTTCCTGTACTCATGTCCTCTTTATCTATGTTCACTCCCTAAGAGATCTCATGTAAACTCATAACCACAAATACTGTCAATCTCCTGAAAAATTGCTAACTTGCATCACCAAGCCAAACCTGACTTGTGAACTCTAAATGAATATGTTCAAATTGTTTTCTTTTTTTTTTTTTTTTTTTTTTTTTTTGAGACGGAGTCTCGCTCTGTCGCCCAGGCTGGAGTGCAGTGGCGGGATCTCGGCTCACTGCAAGCTCTGCCTCCCGGGTTCACGCCATTCTTCTGCCTCAGCCTCCCAAATTGTTTTCTTAACATCTTCAGCTAGGCAACTAAGAGGCAACATGTTTAAAACTGACTCTTGATCTCTTCCATATCTTTTCCTCTCATAGTCCTATATGTCAGTAAATGGCAATTCTATTTTTTTTCTGATTTCTGAGATCAAAACATTTATAGGCATAACTTAATTCTTGCTTTTCCTCATAACTATATACAACTAACTATAAATACTCTCAACTTTTTCTTCAAATATCCAGAATCTAATAGTTCAAGATAATCTAATTCTAACTACCCCCATATCTACTACTCTAGTCTAAGCTACTGTCATGATCCACTTCAACTATCTGGGCTGCTTCTCTTACCTTTGTTTCAATGTAGTGTGATACAGTAATGATCGTTTTCTTTTTAAAACAAAATACAGATTACGTCATGTTTGCTTTAAAACCTTCAATGGCTTTCTAGCTTCCTCTGAGTGAAAACTAAAGTACAAGACCCTACATGATCTAGACAAATAAGATCTCTCTCTGATCTTATCTCTTACCACTCCCTCCTTGTTCACTTCCAGCCACAAACTGGACAAATTTGCTATTGCTCAGGACACATCTAGCCATCTCTCATCTCAGGAGTTTGTATTCCCTTTGCCTCTCCTTTCTGTATAGACAACTTTGCAGGCACCTCCACTTTCTTCAATTTTTCTGTCATAGAGCCATGATATAAAATAGAATACCAACATTGATATTAATTCTATTAATAAAAATGTTAATATTAATGCAATAGAATATTAATAAAGACTAGGACATCCATAATAGCAAATGCATGTATGGGTAGCTAGATAAACATAGCTTCAGTGTATAACTGAAATCTAGTAGATTACAAAACAGAATTAATATCTTCCAGGTAACTGTGAAAGATAAATACTAACAGCTAACACTTAATAACTGTTATTCTTTTGGACTGTATTGTGTGTGTCTTGTGCATATTAATTCACTTAGTCATCAAAACAGCCCTATGGAGCAGGTAATACTATTCTCATTTACAGATGAGACACTGAGGCAAGAGTGGTTAAATAACTTGCCCCATTTCACATAAGTAGTAAGAGCTATGATTTAAGTCTAAATAATGGCTCTAAAATTATGCCCTTGATCATCGTACTCTTGACCACTGTTCAAACTATCTTTATAGTATAAAGGTTTTTAATAAAGTAAAATTTCTTTAGAAAAAAATTAAGAGGGCCAAATACATTGTAAAGTAAGATTACAAAAGTAAAGACAACTGTGCTAGGCATAATTCTAAGATGTTCCCATTATACCCGCCTTTCAGTGTGCACCTCTGTATAAACCCCTCCATTGATGGTGGACAGGCTTTGTGAATGTGATGGAATAGTCTCTTCCATGACTGGGTTATGATACCTGGCACAGCTGACCTTAATAAGGGCAGATTATCCTCAGTGGGCTTAACCTAGGTAGTTGAGCTCTGTTCGTAAAGAAGAGTTTCAAATTTGAGAATGGGTATTTGATATGCAGGAAGTTCCCCATTGCTGTCTTTGAAGAGAAAGAGGGTCATGTGGCAAGGGACCTAGAGGACCCTTAAAGAGACGAAAGTGACACCTTAGCAGATACCCATTAAGGAACTGAACTCTGCCAACAATGTGAATGAGTTTGGAGGAGTACCCTGATCTTCAAATGAAAACATAACCAGCTCAACAGTGAACAGAGAATTCAGTCACTCCATTCCTGACCTTATAACTACATAATAGTGAGATCATAAATTGGTATTGTTTTAAGCCATTATGTGTGCAGTAATTTGTTACTCAGTGATTGAAAACTAGTACAACAGGAATCTGTTATATCAATGTATATGATTCATTTAAATTTATTTAAAAATTGATTTGTCTGATTTGGTTTAAAGATTAAAGGAATAGGAGGAGGAGGTGGAGCAAGATGTCTCGATTGAAGATTCCACCAATCATTCTCCCCACAGAAACACCAAATTGAACAACTACCTACAGAAAAAAGCACCTTTATGAGAATCAAAAATCAGGTGATTAATCACAGTACCTGGTTTTAGCTTCGTATCACTGAAAGAAGCACTGAAGAAGATAGCAAAGACCGTCTTGAATTGCCGATGCTACCCCTTCCCCACCCCCTGGCAGCAGCCATGTGGTGTAGACAGAGAATCAGAATCTGTGCACTTAGGGGAGGAAGACTGTAGTGATTATGGGACTTTGTCTTGGAAGTTAGTGCTGCCCTGTCAGGGTGGAAAGCAACACCAGACAGAACTCAGCTGTTGTCCACAGAGGGAGCATTTAGAACAGCCTAGCCAGAGGGGAATCACCCATCTCAACAATAGGAACCTCACTTCTAGCAAGCCTTGCCACCACAGGGAAAATGCTCTTGAGTCCCATATAAACTGGAGAGGTAGTCTAGGCCACAAAGACTGCAATTCCTGGAAAAGTCCTGGTACTGTGCTGGACTTGGAGCCAGTGGACTTGGGGGTACATGACCCTGTGAAACACCAACTGGGGTGGCCAAAGAAGTGCTTGCATCACCCTTCCCCTAACCCCAGGGAAGTAGCTCACAGCTCTGAGAGAGACTCCTTCCCTCTGCTTGAGGAAAGGGGGGGGACAGTAAAGTGGACTTTGTCTTGCAACTTGGACACCAGCTCAGCCACAGTAGAAGAGGGTGCCAGGCAGAGTTCTGAGGCTCCCATTCCAGGCCCTTGCTCCTGGAAAACATTTCTAGACATACCCTGGGTCAGAAGGGAACCCTCTGCCTTGAAGGGAAGGATCCAGTCCTGGCAGGATTAATCATCTGATGACTGAAGAGCCCTTCGACTTTAAATAATCAGCAGTGGTAGTCGGGCAATACTCACTGTGGGCCTTGGATGAGACTTAGATGTGTGCTAGCTTCAGATATGACCCAGCACAATCCCAGCTGTGGTGGATATGTGGAGAGACTCCTTCTGCTTGAGAAAAACAGAGGGAAGAGTAAAGGGGACTTTGCCTTGCAGCTTAGGTACCCAGTGCAGCCACAGTGGTGTAAGGCATCAGACACGTTCTTGGGGTCCCCATTTCCAGGTCTTGGCTCTTGCATGGTATTTTTGGACCTTCCCTGGGTCAGAGGGGAGCCCACTTCCCTGAAGGGAGAGTCCCAGGAAGAGAATCATTCACTAAAAGCTGACTGAAGAGTGAACATCAGTGACAGCTGGGCAGTTCTTGCCACAGGCCTTGGGTGATGGTGGCCATGGGGAGAGACGCCTCTGCTTGTGGAAATGGGAGGGAAGAGTCATAAGAACTTTATCTTGAGGTTTTTACGCCAGCTGAGCCACAGTAGATTACAGCATCAGATAGATCCCTAAGGTTTCCAACCCCAGGCACTAGCTCCAAGATGGCACCGCTAGACCTGTCCAGGGCTGGGGGAACTCTCTGCCCTGAAAGGAAGGACACAAGGCTGGCTGGGCTTTGCCACCTGTTGATTGTAGAGACCCAGTACCTTGAGTGAACATAAGTGGTCACCAGGCAGTGATTACCGCAGGCCTTGGATAAGACCCAGTCCTGTGTTGGCTTCAGATCTGATCCAGCACACTCCCAGTGGTGGTGGCCACAGGTGTGCTTGTGTCACCCCTCCCACAGCTCCGGCAGCTCAGCACAGAGAGAGACTCCATTTGTTTGGGAGAAAGTAAGAAAAGAAAGCAATACTCTCTGCTGGTAATCCAGAGAATTCTTCCACATCTTATCCAAGACAACCAAGGTGGTACCTCTATGAGTCTATAAGAACCACAGCGTTACTGGGCTTAGGGTGCTCCCTCATGCAAATATGGCTGCAATGACAAAAAACTTAGGTCACAACACCCAGGTTTCTTGAAATACCCGTAAAGTCTTGACACGAAGAATAGTTACAAACAAGCCCAGACTGCAAAGACTACAATATATGCTTAACTCTTCAATGCCCAGACACTAATGAATACCCAAAAGAAAAATATGGCCTTACCAAATGAACTAAATAAGGCACCAGTAACCTCCTGGAGAAACAGAGATTTGTGACTTTTCAGACAGAGAATTCAAAATAGCTGTTTTAAGGAAACTCAGAGAAATTCAAGATAACACAGAGAAGGAATTCAGATTGGTATTAGATAAATTGAACGACAAGATTGAAATAATTTAGAAGAATCAAACAGAAATTCTGAAGTTGAAAAGTGCAATTTACATATTGAGGAATGCACCAGAATCTCTTAACAGCAGAATTAATAAAGCAGAATAAAGAATCAGTGAGCTTGAAGACAGGTTATTTGAAAATATACAGCCAGAAGACACAAAAGAAAAAAGGATAAAAAGAATGAAGCGTAAATACAAGAGTTATTCGTTTTTGTTTTTGTTCTTTTTTTTTTTTGAGATGGAGTCTCTCTGTCGCCCAGGCTGGAGTGCAGTGGCGCGATCTCGGCTCACTGCAAGCTCCGCCTCCCGGGTTCACGCCATCCTCCTGCCTCAACCTCCCGAATAGCTGGGAATACAGACGCATGCCACCACGCCCGGCTAATTTTTTTTTGTATTTTTAGTAGAGATGGTGTTTCACTGTGTTAGCCAGGATGGTCTTGATCTCCTGACCTCGTGATCTGCCCCCCTCGGCCTCCCAAAGTGCTGGGATTACAGGCGTGAGCCACCGCGCCCAGCTAGTTATTAGTCTTAAAGAGCAGACAGAGAGAGAGAGAGAGAGAGAGAGAGAGAGAGAAATTTTATTCAAAGGGACAACAAAAAACACTTCCCAAACCCAGAGAAAGATATAACATTCAAGTACAAGAAGATTATAGAACAACAAGCAGATTTAAACTAAAGAAGACTACGTCAAGACATTTAACAATCAAACTCCCAAGGATAAAGAAAGGATTCTAAAAGCAGCAAGAAAAAAGAAACAACATACAATGGAGCTCTAATATGGCTGGCAGCAGACTTTTCAGTAGAAACCTTACAGGCCAGAAGGGAGAGAGGCATGACATATTTAAAGTACTGAAGAATAAAAATTGTTATCCTAGAATAGCACATCCAGGAAAAATATCCTTGAAATGTAAAAGAAAAATAAGGTCTTTTCCAAACAAAAGCTGAGGGCCATTATCAACACCAGACCTGTCCTACAAGAAATGCAAAAGGGAGTTCTTCAATCTGAAAGAAAAGGATGTTAATGAACAATAAGGAACCACCTGAACACATAAAACTCACCGGTAATAGTAAGTACACAGTAAAACACAGAATATTATAACACAGTAATTGTAGTGTGCAAACTACTTATATCTTGAGTAAAAATACCGAAATATGAACCTATCAAAAAAATAACTACAGCAATTCTTCAACACATAGTCAATACAGTAAAATATAAATACAAACAATAAAGAGTTTTTTAAAAAAGCAGCGGGACCAAGTTAAAGTGTAGAGTTTTTATTAGTTGTATCTTTGCTTGTTTTTTAGTTTGTTTATTTGTTCATGCAATAATTCATTGTCATCAGTATAAAATAATGGCTTATATTATTTGCAAACCCCATGGTAACTTCAAATAAAAAATCAAACAACAGACGCAAAAAAAAAAGTAAAAAGGAAAAAATTAAAACATACAACCAGAGAAGATCACCTTTACTGAAAGAAAGACAGGAAGGAATGAAAGAAGGAAAAGCAGACCACAAAGCAACCAAAAAACAAATAACAAAATGGCAAGAGTAAGTCCTTACATATCAATAACAATATTGAATGTAAATGGACTAAACTCTCCGATCAAAAGTCATAGAATGAATGAATGGACACAAACACAAGACCCAACAATTCATTACCCGAAAGAAATACACTTCACCTATAAAGACACACGGAGACTGAAAATAATGGACTGGAAAAAGATATTCCATGCCAAGGGAAACCAAAAAAAAAAAAAAAAAAAAGAGCAGCAGTAGCTATACTTATATCAGACAAAATAGATTAAAAACACTATTAAGAAGAGACAAAGAAAGTCATTATATAATGATAAAGGAATCAATTCAGCAAGAGGATATAGCAATTGTAAATATATATATGCACCCAACACTAGAGCACCCAGATATATAAAGCAAATATTGTTAGAGCTAAAGAGGGACATAGATCCCAATACAATAATAGCTGGAAACTTCAACACTTGATTTTCAGCATGAGACAGATCATCCAGACAGAGAATCAACAAGGAAACATCAGACTCAGTCTGCACTATAGGCCAAATGGACCTAATAGATATTTACAGAACATTTCATCAATGTGTGCAGAGCACACATGCTTTCCTCAGTACATGGATCATTCTCAAGGACAGACCATACGTCAGGCCACAAAGTAAGTCTTAAAAAATTCAAAAAAAAAATGAAATTACATCCAATATCTTCGCTGACTGCAATGGAATAAAACCTGAAAACAATAACAAAAGGATTTTGGAAATTATAAAAACAAATGGAAGTTAAACAATATGCTCCTGAATGACCTGTGGGTCAATGAAGAAATTAAGAAAAAAATTGTAAATTTTCTTAAAACCAATGACATTGGAAACACAACATACTAAAACCTATGAGATACAGTAAAAGCAGTAGTAAGAGGGAAGTTTATAGCTACAAATATCTACATGAGAAAAGAAAAATAACTTCAAATTAATAACCTAACCATGCACCTTAAAGAACTAGAAAAACAAAAGCAATCCAAAGCAAAAATTAGTAGAAGAAATAATAAAAATCAGAGTAGAAATAAATGAATTTGAAATGAAGAAAACAATTCAAAAGACTGATGAAACAAAGTTTTTTTGAAAAAATAAACAAAATTGACAAACTTTTAGGCAGACTAAAAAAAAAGAGAGAAGATTATAATAAATAAAATCAGAGATGAAAAAGGAGACATTATAATACAACTGATACTGCAGAAATTCAAAGCATCACTAGAGACTTCCATGAGCAACTATATTGCAATAAATTGGAAAACCTAGAAGAAATGGATAATTTCCTAGACATAAACAACGTACAAAGATTGAACCACGAAGAAATCCAAAAACTGAATGGACCAATAACAAGATCAAACCCACAATAAAAAGTCTCACAGGAAAGAAAAGCCCAGGACCTGATGGCTTCACTGACAAATTTTACCAAGCATTCATAAAAGAAAGGAGGAGGGAATACTTCAAAACTCACTTAATGAGTCCAGTATTACCCTGATATCAAAACCAAAGGAAGAACATTGAACAAAACAACTACTTCTAGATGAATATTGGCACAAAAATCCTCAACAAAATATTTGCAAACCAAATTCAAACATACATTAAAAAGATCATGCGGCCAGGCGCAGTGGCTCACGCCTGTAATCCCAGCACTTTGGGAGGCCTAGGCAGGTGGATCACCAAGTCAGGAGATGGAGACCATCCTAGCTAACACGGTGAAAACCCGTCTCTACTAAAAATACAAAAAATTAGCTGGGCGTGGCGGCATGCTCCTGTATTCCCCGCTACTCAGGAGGCTGAAGCAGGAGGATGGTGTGAACCTGGGAGGCGGAGCTTGTAGTGAGCCAAGATCGTGCCACTGCACTCCAGCCTGGGTGACAGAGCAAGACTCTGTCTCAAAAAAAAAAAAAAATCATTCACCATAACCAAGTGGGATTTATACTAGGATGCAAAGATGGTTCAACATATGTAAATCAATCAATGTGATACATCATATCAACAGAAAGAAGGACAAAAACCATATGATCATTTCAATTGATGCTGAAAAATCATTTGATAAAATCCAACATCGCTTCAGAATAAAAACTCTTAAAAAATTGGCTATAGAAGAAACATACCCTAACACAATAAAATCCATATACAACAGACCCACGGCTAGTATCATACTAAATAGGGAAAAACTGAAAGCCTCTCCTCTAAGATCTGGAACATGACAAGCATGCCCACTTTCACCACTGGTATTCAACATATTTCTCGAAGTCCTAGCTAAAGCAATCAGACAAGAGAAAGAAATAAAGGGTATCCAAAATGAAAAGGAAGACATAAAATTATCCTTGTTTGCAGATGATATAGTCTTATATTTGGAAAAACCTAAAGTCTCCACCAAAAATCTATGAGAATAAACTAATTCAGTAAAGTTGCAGGATACACAATCAACATACACAAATCAGTAGCATGTCTGTAGCCAACAACAAACAATCTGAAAAAGAAATCAAGAAAGTAATCCCGTTTACAGTAGCTACAAATAAAATAAAATAACTGGGAATTAACTAAAGAAGTGAAAAATCTCTACAATGAAAACTACAAAACTTTGAAAAAGGAAATTGAACAGGACACCATGTTCACGGATTAAAATAATCAATATTGTTAAAATGCCCATACTATCCAAAGCAATCTACAAATTCAATGCAATCCCTATTAAAATACCAATTACATTCTTCACAAAATACAAAAAACAATCCTAAAATTTACGTGGAACCACAAAAGACCCAGAATAGTCAAAGCTATCTTGAACAAAAGCAAAGCAAAAAAAAAAAAAACAAGCAAAACTGGAGGAATCACATTACCTGACCTCAAATTATTCTATATAGCTATAGTAACAAAAACAGCATGGTATTAACATGAAAACAGCATGGTATTATCCAACAGAATGGTTAATGTTCACTGTAGATGTATGGATTTGTTTTTGGGTTTCCTTTTCTCTTCCACTGATCTTTTATTTTATTTTTGAATTTGGTTTGCAAATACTTTGTCGAGGATTTTTCCGCCAATATTCATCTAGAAGTAGTTTTCTGTTCCAGAAAAGAGAACAGAAAAGAGAACTCAGAAACAAATCCATCATCTACAGTTAACTCATTTTTGACAAAGGTGCCAAGAACATACACTGCGGAAATGACAGTTTCTTCAATAAATGGTGCTGGGAAAACTGGATATCCATATGCAGAAGAATGAAACTAGACCCCTGTCTCTCAACATATACAAAAATCAAATGAAAGTGCATTAAAGACCTAAATATAAGACCTCAAGCTATGAAACTACTAAAAGAAAACGTTAAGGAATCTCTCCATTATATGGGACTGGGCAAAGACTTGTTGAGTAATACCCCATGGGTACAGGCAACCAAAGCAAAAATTGACAAATAGGATCACATCAATTTAAAAAGCTTCTGCACTGCAAAGGAAACAGTCAGCAAAGTGATGTGACAACCCACAGAGTGGGAGAAAATCTTTGCAAACTATCCATCTGACAACAGATTAATAACCAGAATATATGAGTACAAACAACCTTACAGGAAAAGGATCTACAAACCTGATTAAAAAGGGACACAATATTTGAATAGATATTTCTTTAAAAATGATATAAAAATGCCAAACAGCCATAAGAAAATGTGCTCTGCATCACTGATCACTAGAAAAATGCAAATTAAAACTACAATAAGATACCATCTCACCCCAATTAAAATGCCTTATATCCAAAAAGCAAGCAATACAAAATGCTGGAGAGCATGTGGAGAAAAGTGAACCCTTGTACACTGTTGGTTCAAACGTTGTAATGTAAATTAGTACAACCACTATGGAGAACAGTTTGGAGGATCCTCAAAAAAATTAAAATAGAGCTACCATATAATCCAGACAACTCACTGCTAGGTATATCCCCAAAGAAAGGAAATCAGTATATCGAAGAGACATCTTCACTCTCATGTTTACTGCAATATTATTCATAATAGTGAAGATTTCAAAGTAACCTAAGCGTCCATCAACAGATGAATGAATAAAGAAAATGTGGTACATATTTACAATGAAGCCATAAAAAAGAATGAGATTCTATCATTTGCAAAAACATGGATGGAATTGGAGGTCATTATATTAAGTGTAATAAGCCAGGCACAGAAAGACAAACATAGAATGTTATCACTTATTTGTGGAAGCTAAAAATTAAAACAATTGAATTCATGGTAACAGAGAACAGAATGCAGTTACCTAAGGCTGTGAAGGGTAATGGTGGAGAGGGAAATGGGGATGGTTAATGGGCACAAAAATATAGCTAGATAGAATGAATAAGATTTGGTATTTGATAACATAACAGGGTGGCTACAGTCAACAATAATTTATCATACATTTTCAAATAACTAAAAGAGTATAATTGGATTGTTTGTAACATAAAGAAAGGTTAAATGCCTGAGGTGATGGATACCCCATTTACCCTGATATGATTATTGCACATTGAATGCCTGTATCAAATATCTCATGTATTCTATAAATATATACACTCATAAATATATATCTCTACTATATACCAACAAAAATTAAAAATTTAAAAAATTTAAAAATATATTCTGCCTAGAAGAGATATATGTAAAACAAAATTCTGCACGAATGTTAAAAATATAAGAATATATAAAAGTTTGCCAAATAAAAACCAGCATAAATGGTAGAAGTATTAATATTAACTGAGTGGACAGAAAAATTGCAGAGGCAAGGATTGTTTCTATTGACCAAAGGGTTATAACCAAAGGTTATTTCTATTGACCATGTAACTATGTGATGGTTAACTTCATGGGTCAACTTGACTGGGGTAAGGAATTCCCACATAGCTCTGGGTAAACATTATTTCTGGGTGTGTCTGTGAGGATGTTCCCACAGGGGATCAGTATTTGAACTAGTAGGATGAGTAAAGAAGATCACACTAGCCCATGTGAGCAGGCATCGTTCAGTTTATTAAGGGCCTGTATACAAACAAAAAGGCAGAAAGAGTGTGAATTTGATCACTCTGCCTGATCTGAGACATCTATTTTTCTCTTGCCCTTGGACTTCAGTGCTCCTGGTTCTCAGAGTTTTGGACTCAGACCAGCTCTAACACCATCACCAACCTCAATCACATTCTCCTCAGACCAAATTACTCCCTCTGCTTTCTCTGCTTTCCTGGTTCTGCAGCTTGCAAACAGAAGATTGTGGGACTTCTATAACCATACGAGCCAACCCCGGTAATAAATCTGCTCTTATATATCTCTCTGTATATCCCGTTGGTGCTGTTTTTCTGGAGAACCCCAGCTGACACAAATTTTAACAGCCATTCACTTCTATGACATAAACAATATGTGTGTGTACTTTCTAAAAAATAAATGATGAAGAGCATCAAATCATTGTGATATTTAGATGCAATTGGACATTTTTAAGTGAGTGATCTGGAGATAAATTTTTAAATGCCAATATTTGCAATATGTCAAAAGCACATTATTTATAATAACTTATTTGTGATGAAAAAAATTTGGGTTTCAACTTAAACATGCATGAGAGGGAGCATAGTTTTCATAATTCATTCAGAGTATACGTATGATCAAAGAAATATGAAGATGCTACAATAAACAAAAGGGCTTTGCATTTTGGCATTGCTGGTATCTAATAATTTCTCTACTATTTCTTAACCATCAGCCTATATCATCAGCTATAAAAATGGAACTAATGCCCCGTTCAACATTGTTGGGAATAAATAAAATAATATCTATAACTGACTAGCCCAGTACTTGGTGCCAGCATCTTCATATTTTCTACTACAGCCAGCATGGCACCTAATATATGGTACTAGTCAGTAAATTTGTTGATTTGATTTCAAATAATCCGCTTTATCCATAATAATGCCTATTGAAAAAAAATGTCTTGGGTTGACAAGACAGTTCTGGTCTCTGACCAATATCTGAAGACATGAGTGTTATTAAAATAGACTCATTTTCTTTTTAAAACTAGTTTATCTCCCACCTAGATTAATTCATTAATTACACAGAGAATCTCTGAACTTCACATGTATTATCCACATATCATAAAACATGCTTGTCATTAAAAATAATAAGAAGTCATTTTATAAGAAAGAACATGGGGGTGTTTTCTTCAGGAATATTAGGCTGACCTTATAAAATGGCACATGAATACACTTATTTCTTGGAATTAGTATATTCTGTTATGGTTAGTGAATATTTCAATCCAGAATTTTTTTGAGCCTAATGCGGAAGTCAAAAATGATTATGTCTTTGTGTTTGGCAGTGAGGTTAGCGTTTGCCTGAGACTGATGAATGTCATGTGTCAGTAATCTTTAAATAAATACAAGTAAAGAGAGAGATTGCAAATTTGTCAGAAATATGAACAAACTTTAGGTTACAGAGTATCAGTAGGTCCTTAAAACCGATGAACCACCAGTGAGGGGCAAACCATGCTTCTCTGAATTTTATCTCTCAAATTAGAAATGAGAATAAAGAAATTAATAATCCTCAGAAGTGAATTAATAGGGGCCAAATCTACGGCCCAAAGGACTAAGATGTATACATAAACAATGGCATACCTATCTAATAATGGTTTTGATCATAACTATCAACTATAATTTATTAGCCTCTGTAAACTAGGGTGTTCTGTAAATTAATCCATCTAAAATAACCTCCAGCAAATGGTTCATAGATTAGTTTTCTGATTCATCATGACAGCTGAATGTCCTGTGCCTATTCTTGACTTTCATAGAGAGAATTTTTAAATCTTTCTGGTTGGATGGTCTCTTGGCAAATAGGAAGAAGGAATTCAGTATGTACAATTGTGGCTTAAACAGACAAAAGAAAAACTGTTCCTAAATCTACCTCATGCAAATAAACCTTTTTAAAAACTATTTCACCATCCTTTTAAAGTTTTTCTTTTAAATGTAGACAAGTAAAATTGGGCTAGAACTGTGAGTTTAAATATTTGAAAGTATTACATATATTATAAATCTATATATTTATAATAAACCTATCTAATTATGGCTCAGTCTTAGGAAAAATTAAAACATGGTTATGTATAGTTTACTTAATCATCTTTATACACATCTCTTTAATATTCCTTGTCTCTAGAATCTTTTTTAGAAATGATTTTGCAAAAGCAATCGTTTAAGACGAAGCACTGGCAACGGCGAGAGTCAAGTGAGCCATTCAGTACTAGTAAAATGTTTTATTCCCAAAGATTCTACAACATTCATTTTCATGAAAAGATATAAAAGATATGTTAGCATATAAATTCAGCCTTCTTTATGCACATTGTGTGTTCTAATTATAACAATCTAATTTATAAACAACACATGCTATGGTTCTGACAGTGAATTGTGATGAAACACAGTACAAATTTTAATTACATACAGTTCTAATACAGTGAGCACTGCAGCATTTCTGTCATCTTTGAAATGGTAACAGAATGAAAAAAATTTTTCTGAAATATGAGCATGAAGGTAATGAGATCAATAAATGTCAGCTAGAAAAAGTAATCACAACTCCTGAGACTCACTGACCTTTCTACAAATTCCAAAGTAATAGAGTAGCTGGGGATGAGGAATTCTTTAACAATGAGAATCTGATACCATTATAATAAGAAAGGGAAGCCAAGATTGCTCTATGACATCAAAAACACTGCCTATACAGGTAATTTTGGCACAACAATTTATTCCCTTGATTTTTCTTCTATGATCACCACCAACATAGATCACAAATCTTTGGTCTTCACAGAAACAAAATTCCCATTGCAGCTTCTGAATACTGAAAAAGCTGCTTTATAAACTTTAAGCTTGCTTCATAATGTTTAGCATTCTAATAGAGTTTGATAATACATTTAGTTAATTTAAATGCCCACAATGAAAAAATATTTTATTTTGGTACTTGTGAAATCACTCTATCAGTATTTGAGTATAATTTACAAAAATTCAATTTGGGAAAGTGTCTAAAGGAATCTTTGGAAAGATTTAATTATCATGAAATAGTTTGTATTTGAATATAAAATGAAATTATGATATTGTGAAACTCTAAGTTATGATATTAAAATATTTTTTAAAGCCCACAACAGTTTAGACAATAATGCAAAATAAGGCTTCCAGTAAGGCTAAGATTCTACAGGGCCAAAAGGGACTAGAATGGAGTGCATTTTCAGTTTTTATGGCTTTTCCCCTATGGGCAAACTGAAGTTGGAAACATAAAATTTGCTAAAATTACAACAGAAAAATCCACAGTCTTTCTATCCTAGAAAATCAGAGAAAAGTTCAGGTAAATTATAGATATTCATAAATAGGAGAGGAATCAGGGAAATGAAAAGGCACAGATTTGAGCCCCAAATTATCCTCCGAAACCCTGTCCATGTATTTGACCCCTAAAACTACAAATGCACTAGGCAAACTCAGAGCAGTATAGGTTAAAGATGAAAAAACTGAACCGAGATCTGAGCTGCCAGTTAAGAGGCAGAGTTTACCATTTGACTCCAACCAATTAATTATATCAACATACTTCAGAGAAATACAGCCAAATTCAGTCTCTATAACATTCACAATGCCCCAGACACAATTCTAAATTACTTGACACATGAAGAATCAGAAATGTCTAGCCCAGATCAAGAGAAAATACATCAACTGAGACATATTACAAGAAAAACCAAGTAGTAAAATTATCACAAAAGGATTTTAAAAGAATTATTATAATTATTCTCAATGAAAATAGTATCACAATGAGAAATTGTTTAAAAAAATCTTGGAGAAGAGTTAAAAAGTGATTTTTAAACTCTAAATGCAAATTTTAGAACTGAAAGGGACAATATCTGAGATTTCTTAAATTGAATTTACTTAAAAACAGAATGGAAACGACAGAAAAATAAATGAGCCTTAAAATGAATCAATACAAGTTACCTAACATGAAGACAGAACAAAAAAAGATAGATAAAAGGTGAATAGTAACTCAGAGAACTTTTGGACAAAAGCAAAAGTGCTGATGTACATAATTGCAGTTCCAGAAGAAGTAATTTTTTAAAGCACAAAAATATTTGAACAAATAGTGACTAAAACTTTCCCATATTGGGCAAAAAATAAGTGTGCATATTCAAGAAGCTCAGTGAACCCCAAGCAGAGTAAATATGAAAAGAACAATTCCTAAACACATCACAGTCAGATTTCTGAGTGATAAAATCATGAAAGCAGTCAGAGAAAAATGATAAGGGAACAACAACTTGAATGGCCAATAACTCTTCATCAGAAATGGCTAAGTCCAAAAAGTAGTGGAAAAGTATTATTTGAAGTACTGAAACTAAAAAAAAAAAATCAAAAATTCTATACTCGGTGAAAATATTCTTTAAGAATAAAAGTAAAAATATTTTATTCTAAAAGTAAAACTAAGAGAATTCATTGTCAACAGAAATTCACTGCTATAACAAATGATGTGGAAAGCAGTTTAGAAATTTCTCAAAGAACTTAAAACAGAACTACCAATTGACCCAGCAATCCCATTACTGGGTATATAAAAAGTAAATCATTCTACCAAAAGACAATAGGTACTCATATGTTTATTGCAGCATCATTTGCAATAGCAAAGACATGGAAGCAACCTAGGTGCCCATCAACAGGCCATTGGATTTTAAATATGTGGTACATAGAACACTAAGCAATACTATACATCCATAACAAGGAATAAAATCATGTCCTTTGCAGCAACATGGATGCAGCTGGAGGTTATTATGCTAGGTGGAGAAACAAACAAACAAACAAAAAAACAAATATTGCATGTTCTCACTTATAAGTGGTAGCTAGCCATTGGGTACACGTGAACATAAAGATGAGAACAATAGACACTGAAGACTACCAGAGGAGGGGAAGGGCTGGAAATCTACCTATTGGATATTATGCTCACTACTTGGGTGAAGGGATCATTCATATCCCAAATCTCAGAATCACATACTATACCCATGTAACAAACCTGTACATGTACCACCTGAATCTAAAATAAAAGCTGAAATTATTTTTTAAAGTCTCAAATTAGATTAAAAAGTAAATGCAGATGTCTGTTGTTTACAGAAAAACTATACACTTAAAGCCAATGGCCCAGAAACAATAAAAATAAGAAACAGAGTATATGAGTGGGCAAAAATAAAAATAAATGATAAAGGGGGTTCCACAGGCTTAAGATATACCATATAAAAACCTGGATCTTTAGGAAGAAATAAAAAGCCTTAAAAATGTTTTTATAAAAAGTGGGGAGCCAAATATAAAAAGCTACATTTCCTTTTAATTTCATTAAAATCCATAGGACATTTTAAAGAAAATATTATAGCATCATCCTGTGAGGCTGTAAAATGTATGTAAATGTAATAAATATGACAGCCTAGCACAGAGGATTACAGGAAGAAGAATCAGATTTATATAGTTGCAAGTTTATTGCCCATTACATTAAGTGACAAATGCTGTTTCTAAGTAGGTGCTTATGGTAATTTGTAGAAAAAGCACAAAAAAAAGAGTGCAAGAGATATAGCTAAAAAGTCAATAGTTACATTAAAATCATATGCAAAAATTACTAGAGTAATCCAAGAGATGGCAGGAAAAAAACAAAGGAACAAAAACAGATGGGACAAACAGAACCAAATAAAAAACTGGTACGGAAGCCCAAAGTCAATCCTTTCAGCAATAATTAATTGTTAACAAACTAAACATGCCAACTTTAAGACAGATATTATCAAAAATGGGTTAAAAAAGAGAGCAAAACCCAAGTATATATTAGCTAGAAGAGACATATTTTAGTATAAAAATACAACTAGGCTGAAGGTAAGTAAGCAAATGGGAAGGGTAAGAAAGCTTGTGTGGTTATACAAATATCAGAAAAAATGGACTACAAGCTACAGTATTACCAGCAGTAAAGTGGCACATTTCATAACACTGGTCAGGTCAATTCATCAGGAAGACATAATGATCATAAATATGTATGTGCCTAATAACAGAGCTTCAAAATACATGAAGTCAAAAGAAGAGACAAAACTCAAGGGAGAAATATATAATTCCACAATCATAGTAATTTTACCACCCCTCTCTCAGCAACTGATATTATAATAAAATTAAATTCATAGTCTGAAAAACACTATCAACCACTTTAACATAATTTTTATGTTTAGGTTACAACACCTAACTTACCCTGCAAAGTTTACATTCTTTTTAAGTGCACGTAGAATATTCACTGAGATGAGCCCTATTCTGTGCCATTTTAAAAGGTCTCAAATTTTGCAAAATTATTGTATTTGTCTGTTCTGACACTGCTAATAAAGGCATACCCAAGACTGGGTAATTTGTAAAGGAAAGAGGTTTAACTGACTCACATTTTCACATTGCTGGGGAGGCCTCACAATCGTGGTGGAAGGCAAAAGAGGAGCAGAGTCACATCTTACATGGCAGCGGGCAAGAGACCATGTACAAGGGAACTTCCCTTTATAAAACCGTCAGATCTCGTAAGACTTATTCACCACCACAAGAACAGCATGGGAAAGACCCACCCCCATGACTGAATTACCTCCCACTGGGTCCCTCCCACGACATTTGAGAATTACCGGAGCTACAATTCAAGATGAGATTTGGGTGGGGACACAGCCAAACCATATCGATTATGAATCATTGAAGTGGCAGTCAAGACACCTGAATGCAGCCATTTACCAGCTGAATGACCCTGGGAAGTTCACATTGTCTATCTGAGAAGTAGTTTATTAATCTTACAGATAACAGTACTATCTATCAGCCAGGTTTGTTTTGAGGACTGGAAGATAATAAAAGTTGGAAGACCCAGAATAGTGTTTAGTACCCAAATGGAATTTAAGAAATGTTTATTACATTTTTTGGACCAGAATTTTTACTGTTCTTACCAGTGCCTAAACCCAGGTGAGAAATGAAGACTTGATAAACAGCAAGTAGTATGATAAGCAGAAAATATTGGTCATTTTTAATATTATTATTTAGGAAGCAATATGGCCCTTTGCATCTATTCCTGAGCTAAAATTCCAACTCAAAAGGGATTCTTCCCAAGAAAAGGGTCTTCCTGGTCACATCTATGTATCAAAAGCCAACACAAGGACATACATTCAAGATCAAATGAAAGTTGCAGAGCCTGACAGACAGAAGTCAGTGCTGGGATTAATAGACAAACCAGGGAGCCAGCATTTTGTAGAGCATATTAGCAAGAAGCAAAATCACTACAGAACTTACCTAAGCTACAGTATTAGACTCAACTTTGAGTACTTGTTGATGTAAAGATTGAAAATTTGGGGCAACTAATAATACAAATAATGACTATCCAAGTATCAAAATGTAGTACAAAAAATGACATGAGATACATATAAGTGGAATGAAGAGAACAGAATAATGCAAGATGTGCCAGCTAAATACAAAGTGAGTTTACTGCCCTGGAAGTACCATATTTGAAAGATAAGAAGATAACTAGGTATTGATGTCAGAAATCTTTCCATTATATTCATAGATTTTATATATGTTTACACATGTATCAATGAATACTAAAAAATTTATAGTTTTATTCCTAAATACATGCTCATTCCCAATTACTTTTTTTTTTTTTTTTGAGATGGAGTCTCGCTCTGTTGCCCAGGCTGGAGTGCAGTGGCATGATCTCGGCTCACTGCAAGATCCGCCTCCCAGGTTCACGCCATTCTTCTGCCTCAGCCTCCCAAGTAGCTGGGACTACAGGCGCCCGCCACCACACCCGGTTAATTTTTTGTATTTTTAGTAGAGACAGGGTTTCACTGTGTTAGCTAGGATGGTCTAGATCTCCTGACCTCGTGATCCGCCCGCCTCAACCTCCCAAAGTCCTGGGATTACAGGCGTGAGCCATCGCACCCGGCCCCCAATTACTATTTTTATTCTGCTATTAAATCCCCAAGATAGAAAATCCAGCCTACTATAGCTATATCTGGATATTTGGCTCTGGCAAAAATCTAAATCCTTAAAACAGTAGATAGCAGTCTGATACTCAGAGTGGTCAGGAACAGAATAGAGCATCTTCACGTTTCTTTCTTTCTGGGGGTGCTACATACACCAACTGCATTTTCTAAAAAGGATATTGCTAACACAAGTCTGTATGTTCCTATTCCAGAGCCATGTCTGATATTTCCTACTTGAATAAAATTATGAAAATCTTGAAAATTTCCTCATGTTTCCAGAAACTTAAAAGCTTTTATAAAGCAATCTTTACTTTGCTATATAAAAGATAATTACCTGACATACATGCAACCTCTGAAAGATCTCAAGAAAGAAACACACGTATCAAACTGTCATACTTTGATTTCTTGATAGGTCAAATTTCATTCCCAATGTTTTGCAAAATGGTGAGCATATTACAACCTGCTATATAAGTGTAAAATAATATTAGCTTCAGTAACAACTCAGGATCTACCTATGACTTTGCAGGAAATCAAGCCATGACAACTTTTTCATGAATTAGAGTTACTTATTCATCTAGAAAATTATAATTCTACCATAAATAATTTTACTATGCATATATATTACTATTTAATTCTTAATATACATATAGGCCATCATGATTGTACATATACACCATAGAATATTACACAGCCATAAAAAAGGATATCATATTCTTTGCAGCAAAATGGATGAAGCTGGAGGCTATTGTCCTAAGTGAATTAATTCAGAAACAGAAACCCAAATATCTCATGTTCTCACTTATACGTATGAGCTAAACATTGAGCACTCATGGACATAACATGGGAACAATAGACATTGCAGACTATGCAGGGTGGCTTGTTGCGGGGAAGGCATTGAAAATCTCCCTATTGGGTACTATGCTTAATACCTGGGTGACAGAATCCATACATCAAACTTCAGCATCACACAATACACCCATGTAACAAACCTACACATGTACCCCCTATATATGGAACTTAAAAAAATACAAAAAAGTCTTACAAATATTAATGGAAGGCAAAAGGACCATAATGTGTTGCCACTCACCTGCCGAGTGGTAAATCAAAGAGGATTGTCCTAAATGTGGTAAATGTGAGAAAACTTTTATTTCTGCTTGAGGTTAAAAGTCCACAAAAGAATCACTTGATCTGATTGACATAGTTGCTAAAAGTGTCCTATATGTGGCACCTACAGACCACACTGACAAGAGGAAAGCATAGACAGGGTAGTTGTGTTTGAGTGTAAATATCAGGCAGCTTGAAGGGCAGAGTCAGTATGTTGTTAATAAGGGACTCCACAGGTAAGAGTAACATTCACTAAGTGGAGAGCTGGATTACAGGTCACTCACTGAGCATTTTAGACAGACCTGCAGGAAGTACCATTAGTAGGGATATTTCTGTATAGAATAGCAAAGTATATGCATAGATAAAATAGTATGGAGTTTAATAATTGCCATTTGCGATTTGGTGGAAGAAAATTAAGAAGGGTTAAATGACTTGTCCAATTTCACAGCAAGGCAGTTATAAAGCTAAAACCATAACCCATGGTAGAGAAAAATTCCAGCTTTCAAATACCTGAAATATATCTGATGTTGTGTATAATAGTTGTCTCATGCTGAGCTGCCATTTTATTCTTATTGTGTTACAGGAAAAAAAAAAACACCAAATGCATTACAGCTTTAGGATTTCCTTAAGAGTATAACCACTGAAAATATATATTTCAGCAATAAAGAAGGCATGTTTCTCCCATGTTCCCACTGCTTTTGTTTTGAAAAAAAGTCATACATTTTTACCATAGACGAGTCCTTAAATGAAGAAAAATGCACACATTTTTCTTACATGCTTTAGTTCAAGTGGCATTAGGTATATAATTACTCAAAAATAGAGTTTTTGTACATTCGCCAGTAAGTGCTCTCTTAATAGTTGCTTGAGAAAAGGCTTAATATAGCATTTTATATTTCAAAAATGAAAGAAATGGTTTTGTTTTTAGAAAGTTAACCAGTAGTCTTCTGCCTATAATGAAAATGGTCAAACCACTCAGATTTATAACTGGATTATACCATTCTGACCCTCTAAGTTCACCTTTTTTTTTAATGTTGCTTTAATTCACTACATTTTGAAAATAAGGTAACCAAAAGAGATCTGATTGGAAAACATAAGGAAAAGGCCGGGCGCAGTGGCTCACACCTGTAATCCCAGCACTTTGGGAGGCCAAGGCAGGCAGAGGTCAAGAGTTCGAGACCAGCCTGGCCAACATGGTGAAACCCCATCTCTCCTAAAAATACAAAAAAAAATTAGCTGGGCATGGTGGCATGCACCTGTAGTCCCAGCTACTCGGGGGGCTGAGAGGAGAATTGCTTGAACCCAGGAGGCGGAGGTTGCAGTGAGCTGACTGCACCACAGCACTCCAGCTTGGGCAACAGAGCAAGACTACATTTCAAAAAAAAAAAAGGAAAAATAACTTTGTTATATTATAGTAGCAGCATTGTATTACTTTAGGAGTATATCCCCATTACCTCCATCCACAAACCACAAATATTTATGATTGCTATCCTTTAATGCAGTATTTGATACAGCATCCCATTATGTCATTTTCTCTTTTAATTAGTATCTTCATGAAAATTATTTGCAATTTTTTATCCTCTCTGTTATAGTGAATGACAATATCTTATTGACAGGCAAAATGGAAGTGCACTGACTCTTTTCAAAGAAAAATCATTTTCATCAAAGTATATAATAAAAACATGCATTGTTGTATTTATGAGTATCCACTTAAAACATATTTTTAATTACCATCAATTATTCATTATATATAGATATTTATGATTTCCATCTTAAATATGTAACATAGATCCTCAAAAGTTTGGTCATTGACTTGCTCTCTCTAAAATAATGCTTAGAAAATAAGAAATAATTGGCCAGCTATAATGGCTCAGGCCGGTAATGCCAGCATTTGAGGAGGCCAAGGTGAGATAATCACTGGAGGCCAGCAGTTCTAGACCAACTTGGACAAGACAGTGAGATCCAGTCTCTAAAAACAAATCTTAAATTAACTGGGTGTGGTAGTGCAAGCCCATAGTTCTAGCCACTCAGGAAGCTGAGGTGGGGAGATCCCTTGAGCCCAGGAGTTTCAAGAGCTATAATTGTGCCACCGCACTTCAACTTGGGCAACAGAGTGAGATCCTTTCTTTAAAAATAATAATAATTGATGAGTAATTACTTATGCACATATTATATTATAAATAGCTGACAGAAATATGCTCAACATTTACAAACCATTAGTAGTAAAAATTTTGATGTACTAAGAAATCAGAATATGACAGGTTGATCTTTGGGCAGATATTTATTTATTATAATTAAGTAAATGATATTTATGACTGATCCATGTAGTATACTATATATACTTTTCCTTTCCTACAAAAAATATTTTATTGGCTTAATTTTTATGTAATTACTATTCTTCATCCCTAAAAAAAATCTCAGTTATATAAATCTTTATTCAATATATCCCAACATGTCAGGAATCCTAACAATTCCATCTTCACAGAGACATCTCTTCCAGACACCTCTTACTTGCAAAGCCTGGTCAAGTTGCACTCTAGTTATCTTCCTCATATTCTCCTTTGCCGTCATCCTAGGAATTCTCTTTACCTTTCCCTTGTACTAGATCTTCCATTTCCTGGATCCCATGTATTCTCTTTTATTGGTTTACTCTGTGTTGGGGGAGCATATGCTACAGTAGTTTCCTAGAAAAGGATGCATGTGAGTTTTTTTTCCACATCTTGTGTGTCTGAAAATGTTTATTTTTATGTTTACATTTGATTGATAGTACAGAATTCTAGATTGGAAATCATTTTCACTGTGCATTTTCAGAACAGCCTTCTAGCTTTCAGTACTGCCAAAAAGTCTATGCAAATTCTTGATCTTTTAAAGGAAATTTTTTCTCTCTGTCTCTCTGGAAACTTGTACAATCTCCTCAGGGCTCAGGTATTCCTGCTTTGGCCTTATCTTTTATCAATGGTCTCTAGCTCATGATCTACCCATATTGCCCTGCTCACATTATTTGTGTACTTAAGGGAGAAGTCAAAGGAGTTCATTCATACCTTAAATATCACATTTTAAGAAAAGCAGTGATCTCAGAAGCAGTATTTCCTGATCAGAGATCTAATAAGTGTTTGTACCAGTTCTCCTAACCATTAAAACCAGGTCATATTCTTTCTTGGTCCACCTCTTACTAGGTTGTTACATTGGGAGTAGGGACTTCATTTTCATTGGCTCATTTAAGATTCAATCAGAGAGTAGAGGTCTATTTGTTTGTGGCTGAACATTTCATTATGCCTAAAGACATTAATCTTAATAATACGGGAAACTAATATTTTATTTAGATGGCTAGGTCATGGTGTGGAATAAAAACTTATCTTTTAGTCATTATAATCACCATATGCTGATGATGACTTTCAGTGCCACTTTTCCCAAAGAGAAATATTTTTAAAATACTTTTTAAAGAAAACTCAGAGTAATATTATAAAAGAAGGCCACATAGATCTTTTATGTTAGATATTTGTTTATACCATCCTTTCCTCAATTATATCTCCAAAATTATGGATTTTATACAGCTTTCAGAAGCTACAAGAATTCAATCAATGCTCAGGATAATGAATTAGAAGATAAGCTAGAGATCTCTTTGAGATTCAGTATACTTTATTAGCTTGATTACAATTTTCTTTTTAAAAATTTCAGATGAGGTTTACAATGCATCTTAGAACTTTTAATCCATTGTCTCTATTATCTATCACAATTTGAAGATATTAAACCATTTTATCTTCTGTATATATTACCATGATGCCTTCTTGGGGCAAAACAGTAAACTTCACTCTCCATGTTTTTAGCAGATTTTTCTTGGTATTTGATTTTCCTATGCTTCACAGACATCTTTATGTGCATGAAGCAACATTAAGGAAGTCACTTTTAGAAAATTTTCTAGTTATCCAAAGGAGAGCGTTTAAAAAAAAAATGAACAAGTACTGTATAGTAGGCACTATAGTAGTCATCTTCATTTGTCTACCTCATAATATTTAATTCTTACTTGACTATTGCATAGTAAATATTCACACCCACATTTAAAAATGTTTTAAAAACTGAAGCTCAGAGGGAGTAATTTGCTTCACCTTCCAAAGTTATAAGTGGCAACATCAAAATTTGCATACAAGTTTTCTTCTAACTAAAAAACCCTTACATTTTTCCAATTTTGATGTGTAGGTTTAAATAGAAAATGATGATGTTTGCTTGTCTGCCAGGGATAAAACATTCAAGAGTTTAAAATACTTTTCCTCTAAGGAGAAAAAAGGTATAAGCTTTAAAAAGATTTATTTTAAAAACTTCACAATTATTAAAATTTAGATAAGCCTTTAACATATTAAATGGCCAGATATATCACTTTTATGACAGACAGCATTTCTTCTTCAGCTTCTGCTTCTGAAGACCAAGCAATTCAAGTAAGACCCTGGCTAAAGATCTAGACTGGAAAAAAAGCCTCTGTCTCCGTACATTCTAATGAAATGAAAGAATAGATATAACCATCAGGATATACTTGTGGAGTGTCACTAGTATGTCAAGAAGTTAAACAAATTTCTGGAAGACAGAAGGATAATTGGAGCATTTCTCAATAAAAACAGGAGAGAGAGAATACACCGTATAAGAACTATAAGGCCAAAGTTGCCCAATCTGTTTATGGAAACCTAAAAGCAGCAGGTGTAATGGAGGATAGGAGTGAGATATAGGTTTGAAAACAGCAAAATCAACCGAAGACGTGTACAGAACAACTGGAGCAGATGTCCCTCTATTCTTCCCCCATCACAACTCAGACGTAGGCATCAGGCATTTATCCAAGCCTTATACCAATTGTAAATGGCTCCTCTCTAAAGAAATTATAAGGAAAACTACTGCAGATGTTTTCCTGATAATTTCTTTATTCTCCCCATTCTGACATTTAAGGATCTGTAGCCTGATTTCCAGTTCCCTACCTGCTCATTCTGTCTGTCTGATGTCAGTACTGAAACAAAAACAACTCTGTTTTTTTTTAAAGCAACTCAAGATTAAGTAAAGGGAATTAGGTGATTGTAAAATGAATGGAAGTGATGGAGCAGCAGGATCTACAACTGGCTTTCAGAAATGATTTCCAGAGCAGTGCAGAACTGATCCACAAGAGCAATTGCTACTTCCGTAACAAGCAGAACTATGAAAACTGTTGAGCTCATGAACTCACAGGTCAAAAGACAGGACTCAGTAAAGAGTGCCTACCTACACTCTGACAAACAGAAAGCTGGAGATTGGAGATTGGAACATTCCTGCAGAGATACATCTCTAACACCTTTATTGCCAGCAGAAAAGAGCCATAAGACAGTAGGAAGATGGTTTTTTCTCTCTCCTACTTTACAAATCTGATACAATTGTATCTAATGCACAGAACCTACTTTACTCCCAAAATCATGTCTGCTGTGGAGTCTAGGGAATACGCAGTCGTTAGATTTTCAGCCAGTACATAAATAAATAAATAAATAAGACTTACTAGAAAGAAGTGAATCCTGATGCTGACAGCAATTAGACTACATCCACCAAACTCTCCCACTAAGGAATAAAAATCATGCACTGGCACTCCCATGCGTCATTCCATAGAGAGTTCCTAGTCAAAATACCAATTAAGGCAGAGACCTGAAAGAAAACACACTTATTTACATAATAGCAAAGAACACCCCAAAGCACCTACTCACCCCATCACCTAATCATCTTTAAGGACAACCAAGGATCATTGGGTATAAGAGAAGCATCAAATCATGAAAGAGAATAATGACCAAAACAAGAAAATAGAAAATTTAACATCAGAGAAAAACAGATCACTCAGGAAGCAGAAGAGAAACCTCTGATATGATCAGAGAGATCAAATAAAGCTAGGATTCTTGACAAAAGTATCAGCTAGGGAATGGCAAAGCATTCTTATGGATTTATAATAATATTACCAGAATGAAAAAGCAATAATATATTTTAAAGTGCAGGAAAGAAAGTGTGGACAGAAAATGTGAATGAAAAGAAGCAGATAAAAGAACATTCCAGGAGATACAGACTTGGAATAGCAGGAGTTCCAGATAAAAAAGGAGCATCCTCAAATGCAGCAGACATGGAGAGTATGTAATCCAGACTGGAGCAGGAAATAGAAGACCTCCAGGGGGAGAAAATTCTAGGACAAGGGAAACTTTACATGCTAGCATTATGACGCAAAGGGTACAAAGATGCTAGAAACGTTCTTCCTAGGAGCAACCCAAGTATGTGACATTGTTCCTATAGAAAAGAAATCTAATCCTAGCGCGTTATTTGACAATGAAGAAACAGGATAAATACTGTTCACTTGCTCTTTAAGAGTAAACCTAAAATCATCTAGCTTTTAAATACTGACTCAAATGTATAAAATATTACCAATGCCAAATAAAACAAAACTACAGGGTAAGTCCAGGCCACAGTCCTCAGCTGACAACTCAGCAGATGATATTTAGCCACTAGAACCTCTGAGATGGTAGTCTTAAACCAGTGGTTTCAAAAGTTTCATTTATTTGAACAGTTTGTAGCCATTATCACATTTGATCCTGAGACGCAAGGGAGGAAAAGCATGGTTGTGGTTTCAGAAACAGAATATAAATGTCAATAAATTTAACAATATAAAAGTAAAGCTATAGAAGATAGATGCTGGGAAGCAGAAAGCAGGAAAAGGTAAAGGAAACTCATGAGAGTCCTTATTGTATGAATCAGGAAGTGAGTGATGCTGTTAGCAGTTGAGGGCACATACAATTTTTAAAAAATGGTGTAAACATAGCATTTGAATTAGAGAAGAGATCAATAGACAAATTAAACATAATAATTAAGCTATAAATATTTGAGAGCAGGGGTAAGAAAAGTAAGCCAAATCCTCATCTTTCACAGAAGAAGTCAATAAATGTTTATTAAATACCATCTCTGTGCCAGGCAGTATTCAAGCACTGAGGATGCAATAATGCACATAAAAGAAGGGGAAAACTGATGTTTAAAATGCATCTCATTGTTGTTTACTGTATTAGCCCATTTTCACACTGCTGATAAAGACATACCTGAGACTGGGCAATTTACAAAGGAAACAGGTTTAATGGAGAACTCACAGTTCCACATGGCTGGGGAAGCCTCACATCATGGTGGAAGGCAAGGAGGAGCAAGTCACATCTTACATGGATGATGGCAGGCAAAGAGAGAGCTTGTGCAGGGAAACTCTGCCTTATAAAGCCATCAGATAACGAGACCAACATGGGAAAGACCCTCGTGATTCACTCATCTCCCACCGGGTCCCTCCCACAATACGTTGGAATTATGAGAGCTACAAGATGAGATTTGGGTGGGGACATAGAACCAAACCATATCATTCACCCTCTCTCTTTTTCCTAGAATGTTTTATGATTTTGATTTTCTGGTAAACTTTCATTCCTCCAACATAAACCCATGTTTACAAGCATGGAACCTGATTATGACTGAAGAAATACTGAAGAAATATAGGTAAAGCTATGTAATCCTGTGCTTAAGGACTAACCACTAGAAAATATCAAAATAGAAACCATAGAATAAGATTAGCTATGGGTAGCAGCACTGGTAATACAGAAAGGTGGAAAAGGAGACTACTCCTTTTTCTGAAGTGTTCTTTATGTTATTTGATAGGTGACTATGGTAGGAATGGATGTGTGGCCCCTTCAGTGACAAACTTCTTGCCCTCACTGCTGGAAGTGCTGTTGTCAGACTGCCTTTGGCTGTCAGCCTCTTCAGGAATTGTTTCAGATGCAGAAAGCCATTTCTCCCAAAGTAAAGCAGCTTTCCAGGCAGCTCACATTTAATGAACAACTGACGTTGAAGATGGGCTTGGCCATCTCAACCAAACTTGGAACAGATGACTCTTAAGGGCCATTCTAGCTCCTGAGCACTCCTTGGGGTCAGCAGACACTGTCATTGGACCTGTGTCATAGCCTGACTTCTTCTTCTCCATTTCTGCTTTCTTCTATTCCTTTTCAAAGGGTTGATCCCACAATTTCTCACTCATTAAATTGTTAATTCCACAATTTCTCAGTAATCCCACAATTTTCTCACTAACAATAAATACTGCTTGCAAGTATTACATTGATTAATATAAGTTTAAATGCTAGAAAAGTGCCAGTAATGATTTATTCAATGTTATGCAGAACACAGGAATAATTAGTAAAACAAAGAATTCATGTGGCAATAAAATTCACTTTCACTTTTTATTAATATAAGTTCCTCTTTATTTTATTCCACTTTGTTGCTTTCTTAAATTTGTATTTTTGCCAAGGATGGATAGCTTTCTACTCAATATCTAGCCCTTGACACAAAATTTTATGTTGCTTTTGCACATACACAAAATATTGCTATTTGTTTATTGCTGTGTTTCCTTTCTAATGTACATACACTTCAATCTCATCAATGCTCATATAATGGCAAGGAAGTGTCACTGACCAGCCAAAAAACAACTTTTCTATTGATTTCTATGCATGTATGTCACTTTCTCACCAAATTATACTGAATTCTATTCACCTATGTTATTAAAAAGATAATGATTTCTGACATGCAAATATCATAATAAATTATGGTAATTTTATTGGTGTAAAAAATGCTAAAATTCCCTTAATTTTTAATGCTGATGTATGTCAACAGAGATAATTGCTTTATTTTATTGTCTAAGTAACAGCTTAATAGCTTTTATTTTTGTAAATGCTGTCAGTAAATGCAATAATTTCTGTGACTTTATTCTTCAAAGGACTTGCTTAAAATATTTAAAGTCTATGCCTCTAATGCAGAGTGTAGCTCCATTATTTATATATCTCTGATTCTTAAATATTTTGTATAAGGCAAATGGTCAATAAATTTTTAAAGAATGTATGAATAAATGAATGAATGAGCTTGCTTTATATAATATTTTATCTAGAAATCTTTATTCATTTAATATTGTATACTGACTTCTTTATATTTTTCCAGTCATGTTCTAAGTTCTGTATATATCAGTTTTCTTATGGCCTCCTGAGCATTTAATAATTGAAGTCTCCACTTTTCATTTATTAAATTCATAAGTATTTATTAAATACCTACTTTGTGCCAAGCAGCATGCCAGATGCTGAGGGTATAATAATGTACATGAAATGGGAGAACAGATGCTTTAAATGCATTTTATTGTTTTTCACATTCTCTTTTCTGCCTGGGATGCTTTATTACTTTTATTTTCTGGCAAACTTCTATTTCTCCAAAATAAAGCCATGCGTAAGGGCACAGAGTCAGACTGCTAGTGTTCAAATCCTGGCTCGAGAGTTAGTAGTTAAATAACTTTTGGCAAGTTTCTTAGCCTGTGAATTTTCCATTTTCTCATATTTAGAATGGTATCTACCTCATACCACTGATGTCAGAATTAAGCAATTAAAATGTATGTAAAAGTCTCAGTTTAGTGCCCGGTACATACTTGTTCAATAATCGTTAGCTATTATTCCAGCATCACTATGCCTTGCTGTTAGAAAAACAGTTAAATCCTGACAACAAATTCCAAGATATAACAGCTGCCACCAAAATAGAGTGACTTTAGAATATCAAAAAAGCCCTTTTATTCACTATTTTTAATAGAAAACTTGAAGGTTCTATTAAAAATAAAATATCGTCCATGTTGATGCATATTGCAGAATTTCCTTCTTTTTTAAAGGTTAAATAATATACTATTGTATGTATAAATTATGTTTTCTTTATATATTTTTCTATCAATAAACATTTAGTTTATTTCCTTAAGGACATTATGCTAAGTTTAGTAAGCCAGTCACAGGAAGACAAATACTGCATGATCCCACTTATATGAGGTATCTAAAATACTTAAGTTGTTAGAATTTAAGTATCCCACTCTTTAGAATTAGAAAGACTAATTCCACTCTTTAGAATCAGAAAGACTAATTCTACTCTTTAGAATTAGAGTGGAATGTTGGTTACTAGGGGCTGGAAGGAGGAGAAAATGAGGAGTTACTCATCAATGGGCGTAAAATTTCAGTCAAGAAAGATAAATAAGAAGTGAAGCAAGATGGCAGAATAGAAGACTCTACCAATCATTCCCTCAGCAAATATCTACATAGAAAAAAACACCTTCATAAGAACCAAAAATCAGGTGAGCATTCATAGTGCCTGGTTTTAACTTTATATTCACTGAAAGAGGCACTGGGATAGATAGAAAAAACAATCCTGAATAGCCATTGCCACCCCACCCCTACCCTGGCAGTGGTGGCTTGGTGCAGAGGGCATCTCTGGGTGCTCGGGGAGGGAGAGCACAGCAATTGTAAAGCATTGAAGTCAGTGCTGTCCTGTTAAAGCAGAAAGAAAAACCAAACCAAATTAGCTAATGTCCACTCACAGAGGGAGCAAAAGACAGCCCTAGCCAGAGGGGAATCAAGAATCCCCAGTGGTCAAAACTTGAGTGCTTGCAAACCTCGCCACCATGGGCTACAGTACTCTGAATCTCCAAGTAAATTGGAAAGGTAATCTAGGCCATAAGGACTGCAACTCTTAGGCAAGTCCTGGTGTTGAACTAGGCCCAATGACATTAGATAGAGCGGGAAGACAACATACTGAGACACAAGCTTGGGCAGCCAAGGGAGTGCTGGCATCACCCCTACTCTAACCTCAGGCAGCACAGCCCACAGCTCCAAAAGAGATCCCTTCCTTCTGCATGAAGAGAGGAGAGGGAAGAGTTGGGAGGACTTGGCCTTGCATGCTGGATACCAGCTCAGTCACAGCAGCATAGGGTTAGAGTCGTGAGGCCTCCATTCCAGGCCCTAGCTCGACATTTCTAGACACACTCTGGCCAGAAGGGAACCCACCGTCTTGAAGGAAAGGACCCAGTCCTGAGAGCATTCATCACCTGCTAACTAAAGTGCCATTGGGCCCTGAATATCAGCATTGATACCCAGGTGCTATATCAAGGGCCTGGGGTGAGCCTCTGAGACTTGCTGGCTTCAGGTGAGACTCAGCACATTACCAGCTCTGGTGGTTATGGGGCAAAACTCCTTGTGCTTGAGATAAGGAGAGGAAAAAGTAAAGGAGAGTTTGTCTTGTTCCATAGGTAACAGCACGACCACAGTGAGGCAGAGAACCAAGCAGGCTCTTCAGGTCCTCAACTCTAGGACTTGATTTTTGGATGGCATTTCTGTACCTGCCCTGGGCCAGAGGGGAGCCCACTGCCCTAAAAGGTGAGTCCCAGGCCAGAAAGAATTCACCACAAGCTAACTTAAGAGCCCACGGGCCTTAAGGAAACATTGACTGGTAGTTTGGCAGTATTCCTCATGGCCTGGGGGTGGTGGTAGCTACAGGATGAGGCTCTCTGCCTTTAGAAATGGAAGGCAAGAGTGAGGACTAAATCTTGTGGTTTAAGTGCCAGCTCAGCCCAATACAATAGAACACCAGGTAGACTTCTAACATTCTTGACTCTAGTCCTTGACTCCTAGATGGCACCTCTGGACCCAGCTGGAGCCTGGGGCACCTTACCATCCTGAAAGGAAGGACACAGACCTGGCTGGCTTTGCCACCTGCTGATGGTAGAGCCCAAGGACCTTGAGTGAACATAGGCAGTAGCCAGGAGTGGTTACAGCAGGCCTTGCATGAGACCCAGTGCTATGCTGGCTTCAGGTCTGACCCAGTGCAGTCATAGTGGTGGTGGACTGAAAGCCATTCTTCTATGACATGGAACAAGATGAGAATGCCCACTGTCACCACTGTTATTAAACATGGTACTGGAAGCTCTAGCTAGAGCAACCAGACAAGAGAAAGATACAAAGGACATCAAAATTGCAAAGGAAGATGTCAAATTATTCTTGTTTGCAGATGATATGATTTTATATTTGGAAAAAATTAAAGACTCCAACAAAAAACTATTAGAACTGATAAATTCTGTAAAGTTGCAGGATACAAAATCAACATACAGCGGGAGGGGGGAGGGATAGCATCGGGAGATATACCTAATGCTAGATGACGAGTTAGTGGGTGCAGCACACCAGCATGGCACATGTATACATATGTAACTAACCTGCACAATGTGCACATGTACCCTAAAACTTAAAGTATAATAAAAAAAATCAACATACAAAAATCAATAGCATTTCTATATACCAACAGTGAACAATGTGAAAAACAAATTTAAAAAGTAATCCCATTAAGATATTCACATATAAAATGAAATACTTAGAAATTAAACAAAGAAGTAAAAGATCTCTACAATGAAAACTATAAAATATTTATGCAGGAAATTGAAGATGACACCAAAAAATGGATATTCCATGTTTATGTATTAGAAGAATCAATATTGTTAAAACATCCATACTACACAAAGAAATCTACAGATTCAATGCAATTCCCATCAAAATACCAATGACATTCTTCACAGAAATAGAAAAAAAAAATCTAAAATTTATATGTATCCACAAAAGTCCCAGAATAAACAAAGCTATCCTAAGCAAAAAGATCAAAACTGGAGGAATCAGATTAACTGATTTCAAATTATTCTATAGCATGGTACAGGGATAAAAAGAGACACATAAACCAATGGAGCAGAATGGAGAACCCAGAAACAAATCCACACACATACACTGAATTAATTTTTGACAAAAGTGCCAAGAACATACACTGGGGAAAAGACAATCTCTTCAATAAATGGGGCTGGGAAAATTGGATATTCATATGCAGAAGAATAAATCTAGACCCCTATCTCTTGCCATACACAAAAATCAAATCAAAATGAATTAAAGAAGTAAATCTAAGGACTCAAGCTATGTAACTACTAAATGAAAACATTGGGGAAAATCTCCAGGACATTGATCTGAGCAAAAATTTCTTGAGTAATATTCTACCATCATAGACAACCAAAGCAAAAATGGACAAATACGGCCAGGTGGGGTGGCTCATGCCTGTAATCCCAGCACTTTGGGAGGCTGAGGTGGGGGTATTACCTGAGGTCAAAAGTTCAAGACCAGCCTGGCCAACATGGCAAAACCTAGTCTCTACTAAAAATACAAAAAATTAGCTGGACTGGACGTGGTGGCATGTGCCTGTAATCCCAGCTACTTAGGAGGCTGAAACAGGAGAATCACTTGAACCTGGGAGACGGAGGTTGCAGTGAGCTGCGATGGTGCCATTGCACTCCCGCCTGGCCCACAGAGTGAGGCTCTGTCTCAAAAAAAAAAAGGACAAATGGGAAAATGGGATGACATCAATTTGAAAAGCAAAGGAAACAACAAAGTGAAGAGACAACCTACAGAATAGAAGAAAATATTTGCAAACCACCAATCTGACAAGGGATTAATAACCAGAATATATAAAGAGCTGGAACAGCTCTACAGGAAAAAGCTAATAATCCAATTTTTAAATGGATAATAGACATTTCTCAAAAGAAGACATAAAATGGCAAACGGATAAGAAAACGTGCTCAAGATCATTGATCATTGGCAAAATGCAAATCAAAACTACAATGAGATATCCTCTCACCTATCAGCAGGGTGACTATAGTCAATAATAACTTAATTGTATATTTAAAAGCGACTTAAAGAGTGTAATTGGATTGTTCATAATTCAAAGGATAAATAATTGAGGGGACAGATTCCCCCCTACCCCAAAGTGATATCTTGGGTAATTTTCTGTTTATTCTATATGTAGTAGATGTGGAATATGTTTTTTCCTTGGTCTTCCTTTATTCCTAGGAAGGAATTATTTTCAGATCTCAATGGACTGCTTCTTATAATTTACTGGAAATTTATTTCCATGCTGACTATACATTGCTATGGTTTGCATATTTGTCCCCTCCAAAACTCATGTTGAAATTTAATTTCCTTTGTAAAAGTATTAAGAGGTAGGACTTTTAGGAGGTGATTAGGCCATAAGAACTCCACCTTTATGAGTGGGATTTGTGCATTATAAAAGGGCAAGTTCAGTACCCTCTTGCTATCTCTATTGTCCTGTTGTTTTCTGCCCTGGAATGATACAGAAGAAGGCCTTTGCCAGATGCTGGTACCTTTGTACTGAGACTTCCCAGCCTTCAGAACTGGGAACCAATCAATTTCATTCATTATAAATTTTTTAAAAGATTAATAACTCTATAGAACTGTTGTACAACATTGTACCTATAGTCAACAGTAAGGTATTGTACGCTTAGAAATTTATTAAGATCGTTTATCTCATGTTGTGTTCTTACCATAACAAAAAATAAAATATTGCCTATTATATGTAATAAAACAGAGAATTGTCAATCGGTCTAGTCTGCCACCTAATCCAGCAGTCACTCCAAGGTTGTGGAAGGAATGGGAAAAATAGTAAAATTTGGAAAGGAGCAAAGGAAGAGAGCCTACATTGTTCTAGGTTTCAGGAAGCAAATGTTTCAAAACAGATCCCTATTGCTTTACTGACTCTTTCAGCAGTCCTATGAAGCAAGTAAAGCTTCCAATGATTGCCCTTATTATAACTCTGAATATTCCGATTGAAAACACTACATTGCTCCTTTTATTACAGAATAGGAACAGTACTATAAACCAGATTATATGGCCTCTGGCCAAATGTTCTTTCTACTACCCAAACTTCTCACATATGGATATGGAATTTTAGATCAAAACTTCAAAAACTTTTTCCTATGAGTGCAGTTATGTTTTTAATATAATGATTTATTTTCCTTTGGGTAAATACCCAGATCCACATGGGCATCCTTGTCTTGCTCCAGATCTTAGTATCCTAACTGGATCAACAGATGATCAGACATATATATATATATATATATATATATATATAAAATCTCAGGTATATATATATATATAGGTGTATATATATATATCAGGTGTGTGTATATATATATGTATATATATATATACACACATACACAATGGAATACCATTCAGCCATGGAAAAGAATGAAATGAAATCATATATTTTGCAGAAACATGGATAGAATTAGAGGCCATTATCTTAAGTGAAAACTCAGAAACAGAAAGGCAAATATCACATGTTCTCACTTATAAGTGATAATTTATAAGTAGGAGCTAAATGATATGTATACATGGACATAGGGTTTGGAATAATAGACTTTGAAGACTTGGAATGGTGAGGGGTTGGGAGGTGGGTGAAGGATGAGAAATAACTTAATGGGTACAATATATATTATTGGGTGATGGTTATACTAAAAGTCTAAACTTCATCACTATGCAATACATCAGCATAACAAAACTACACTTGTGCCCCTTAAATTTATACAAATGGAGGAAAAAAGTTATCTCCTGAGTCAAGTTTAAATGAGCTAAATGATTATTCTGATATCATATATTTGAGTGCATGGATGGTATCAACCTCTCTATCAAGATAGCACAGAGTCCACAGGAAGTATGATGTGGGCAGATGCATTGTCAAGAAGATAGTGGATTTCTACCCCTTCTAGCTTCCTCTCCCAATTCAATCAAGTAATCACTCAGCAGCATGTATGAAGGACCAATCATGTTCTCAGGTTGTGGGTAAATTAAGATACTAAGCCTGACCTAAGTAACCTGAAACGGAATTGAATGGCAATGTTCTACCTATGAAACAACAATAAATAATGGTTCTTATGCTTTTGTGTCTTGACTGCAAGTATCATCTGTCATAATATCTAACTCCCTGAGTTGTCATGAGGATTAGTTGAGATATCATATGAAAATCACTAGCTCATCACTTAGCGCATAACAGGGGCTCAAAAAATAGTAAACTAGTGGCATGGGTAACAGCCAGTAAGAGCAATATCTGTGGTAGTGGAGGACAGCTAAAATTTGAATACTTTGAACTTTGTGGGTTCAAAGGAGAACGACATGTTCATAGGAATATTAGTTTGCATTAGTTTCATGTCTATTTTCAGAGGTAGAGTCAGAATCAGATTTTTTTTTCTCCTAAACAAATGAGCCTCATGTATTAGTTTGCTAGAGTTGCCAAAACAAAATACCACAGACTGGGTGGTTCAAACAACAGACATTTATTTTCTCACAGTTCTGGAGGTTAAAAATTTGAGATCAAGCGTTCAGCAGGTTTGATTTTTTCTCAGGCCCCTCTCACTGCCTTGCAGATGACTCCCTTCTCACTAAGTATTCACTTGGTCATCTCTCTGTGAGTGCATGTCTGCTATTTCTCTGCACGTACAAATTTTCTCTTCTGATAAGGGCACCCCTATCATATTAAATGACCGTCCACCCTAGACCTCATTTTAACCTTAAACACCTCCTAAAAGACTTTATATCCAAATATGACTATATTCTATATTTCTAGGGGTAAGGACTTCAATATACATTTGTTGGGGACATAAGTCAGCCAATAACACCTTTTCTGGAGACACAGATGCGCAGAGATTGGTTAAGTACAATAAGCTTTACTAATGCCTAGTTCAAGGACTCCGGTGGAGAAGAAGAGAAAGGATCCTTAGCCAAATGAGAGAGATAAGAGAACAGTCTCTGATCATTGCAGAATAACCTGGCACATGTCAAAAATACAGAGGGGTGGACTGATCTGCGGACTTAGTTTGATTTTACATGGGAAAGAAGGATGGAATTCCTTTCAGTAGGTCTCAGAAGGTGTAACTGCAGGACACAGAATGAGTACATGCTTTAATATCTCGAAGTCTGGAGAGTAGTCATTGGAACAAGCCAGTCTGCAGCTTACAGGCCAGCTTTGTGGAATACTGATTTCTTTCCAGAGCAGTCAGGGAACAGAGAAGAGGAGGCCTAATAATATTTCTGGTGTCCATGCACTCAGGGTCTATGAATACCCGGGCAAAATGAATATGTCAATACTTTTAAAATGTGCTTACATTCCTAGGAGTTCATATTTATGAAAGTGCCATATGAAGTGTGACTATCAAGTACTATTTTCTGGAGCAATCTTAGGCATCTGTAAAAGGTATGTTGCTCCACAGAAGCTATCATATGTAATGGTTAAAACACTGGATACGAAGTCATTGGCTCGTACCCAGTACTGACACTTACTAGCTTGGTGAGTGGGCAAGTTCCTTGATATCTGCATCTCAACACACTTATGTTTAAAGTGAGATAATACTATTCTTACAGCATTGGATATATTTGAGGATTACTTGAGTTAAGATATATAAAGTGCTAAGAATATTGTATTATTACCAAGAAATTCTGAGTGAATCACACAATTTCATACAAAGAAGCAAAGTTCCAAAATGTTCCTTGCCAGATTTAAAAAGTGAAAATACAGACTTCCCAGTTAAATTTTATTAACAAACAATTTTTGAATATAAATATGTCCCAAACATTTTATAAACACTCTTATACTAAAAATTTATTTGTTGCTTATCTTGAAATTCAAACTAACTGGGCATTCTGTATTTTATTTGGCAACTGTAAAAAACACATTTTGAATGATATTGAAAGAGAATATCAGAAAGCAATACTTTAAATGTCATCAGTGTTTAATAAGCACATACCTAATAACTATAATAACTGAATGAGTTGGTAGACCCAAGGGCTATAATGTGGACAGCCTTTATTGAAATACAAGCAGTCAAATTGACTTGAGGAATTAGGAGAAATGGGAGCTAGTTAAGATTTGAGTAGAAAAATGAATTACCAAACCTCATGAAAATGGCAACTGAGTTATAATTTCAGCTCTCTACCAGAATTTATGGCATATAGAAGGTATTTGACAAAAGTTTGATGTATGAAAAGATAGCGAATGATTAAGCAAATGAATAAACAATGAACAAATAAATATGTAAATGGATCAACTATTTAAGAATGGTAAATTATAAAGGATGGGGTAAATGAAAAGAATCATAAGTTCAGAGAAATAAATTAAGAATGACTTGTGGTAATCCCGTTAGAGGAAATGAGAAACAACCTAGAATAAATGAAGTTGAAATGGAGACGAGAGAGAAAATTCTAAAAGCATGTCAACACAAAAGTCATAGGATAGGAAGACTGTGCACAAACTAATATTACCATCTGTCAGCTGTGAATACTCCTCCATAGAAATAGCTAGGTTTGGTCTCCTCAGACTTTCTACAAAACACAGTCTGGAGGGAAACACTCCAAGGGAATCCATCAAGGCTTTCCATTTCAAGGAATCTGGGTAGACTGTAATACACCAAAAGAGGAAAGAGGAGGAGGAAGATGAGGAGGAGTAAAAAGAAAAGTTTCTGCTATTGTTGTATTTATTTTTTGTAAGCACAAAAGAAGATAGCTTACTCATAATCTAAAGTAAATATTTATTAGACAATGAAGAGTCACATTGTCTCCAAGAGGATTTCTAAAAGTAAAAGATAGGATATGTATGCAAGTATTTGAAAGTCTCAATATAAAAAAGTTTCATCTAAGATTATTGCAGTATCTTGAGCTCTACACACAACAGAACACTTTCAAACACTCTTTTCCTCTTGAATATAATACAAAATAACAATATAATTCAGCCTATTCAAAGCAGCAAATCACCAAAGACCTTATCTTCCAACAGGTACACATGTAGTGCTTAGTACTGTTGCTCTACCATCACAATTGCTGATGCATGAACCAACAAAGGAATAAAAAGAAATGAAATAAAGTCCTAAGATTTATTTATATAAATGAAATATGTCTCTCATAAGTACATAGAGGTGTTGAATTTTTCAAATTAGTCAGAAATATGTGTAACTTTTCCTTAAACTTTATAACCATGGATAATCTGCAGTAGGAATAATTTTTCTTTCTATTAAAAATAAGTATTATCATTAATATAATTGGATCTTTTAGAACTCATGAAGTAATTGCAGCCATTTATTTTTTAAAACATTTGATGGTTTTGGCATATCATAAAACAATTTTGTAGGCATTGTTCTATAATTTTCAAATTCATTTATTTCAAAAGAAATATAATCATGTTTTATGGTATAATTAAACTTAGCTCAAATTTTTGAACTCTTATTGATCTCATTAACACATGTTTAGCCCTATAATTAAAAGGGGATCAAAGTCTTTTACAAAAATCTCCAAAACAATCATGGAGTTGAACTTTGAAATTTTCTTTATGGAAGTTCTAAAAGGAAAACAGTTTGCCTAATGCCACACATTTAGTTGGATGGTATAAAGCAATGATGTTCACAACCCCAAAATGATCAGGCCTTGCATTCACTTTTTCATTCTCCTCATGGTTTTGCTAAAAAGTATTGTTCTTTCATTGCCTCATGATTAGAAATCCAGTCTCGTATTTTCTGGATAGTCTATAATCCAGCACTTGAAGAGTGTAATTGCAATAAGGTTAGAACAGAATTAGAGGGGAGTGCCAAATGCAGATACCAACAAGACAGTACTAATTCTTCCTCAAAAGTCACACCAAATTAAAAGTTTCTATTAAGGATATGAAAGTTTGAAGTTGAAACTCAGCCTATATTCTATGATAAAATTGAATATTGGATATTAATATCAGCCTACTAACTTTAGCAATATTCAAAATTAACAGCTAAGAATCAAAATAATACAAATAATTATTTTCAGACCCTTACTCTTGTTATAATCCTAACACTTAATTGGAATTCACCAAGTGTTTAGTTCCCCTAAAAATGATTGATAATGTTGTTACAAGTGATTCATAAGGTAATAATAGCAATAAGCCAAACTTTATTTATTCATGCAATATTCATGGAACTATATAATTCAGTATGTCAGTAATTATATTAAGTATATTAATATCATATCAATTAATATACTTGCACTGTATTAAGTATGGGACATAAATAAGTTTCTAAAATGGCTTCAAGAAGATTTTGACATAAGAAATATTATTAGAAGTACATGCATGATGGTGGTCATAGCCACCATTCTATGAATGCAGATGCTGTGTACTTACTTCTGTGAAGTGTAGCTCTTAGCCTGTGATAAAGTAAGAATTTGTTACCTAAATTAACATGTCTTCCCAAATGAAACAACTTACCTTCCAGTAGAAAGATCAGGTTCCTATGATGTTAAGGACAGACATGCTAGGCCATGGGAAAAAATGAATAAATAAATGAGACATCTTCATCTGGAAAACATATATATAATATTCAATACTACCTTAAATCAGAATCATAAACCTGGCTTCAAGTCAGTATAAAATCTATCAGGGAAAGTACCTAATATCTAAATAGTAATAATCCAAAATAGAATATAATTAAATACCATAAAAGAGGACCAGACTATGAGATGATATTTCAAAGAAGGAAGAGAAGGTATCCAGCTGAATAATCTGGCATAATCCATTGAAGAGAAAGTATTTGAGTTGTGTGTTGAAGTATCTGGTAGGATTAGGACCCATGGAACTGAGAAGGATATTCTGGATAGAGGAAATATCATAAGCAAAGTTGGAGTGAAAATTCCTGAAACATATAAAATGTCCAGAGAATAGTCCCATTGGTCAAACATGCTGTATATGAAGGGCAGCCCTGAGTGATAATATTGAGAGGATGGTGAGAGCATGTGGGGAAATAAAACTTCTCTAGATTTCTCCTGTAAAAATTTTGAGCCACCTGAGACACATAAATGTATACAACATAAAAATAATGTTTGCTTTCCCTTCCCCTAGAAACATATAACTATCCACATATTATGAGGATTAGATCTGCAGTCATTTGTTGAGTTAATCATGCTGATCCAAGAGTATGATAAAACTTCTCTTCTCTCTCCTACAGGAACAATTGGTTACAGCCTAGATTAGGCCCTTAGGTTAAGCAATCAAGATGTCAAGAAGACTGTCTTCCTAGGAATTTACATTTCAAAATGATGAAGCCCAAACCCTGGGGATATGTTTAGGTCATAAAAGCCATAGACACTAGGGCTTACTTGTTCCTTGGAAAGGTGTATTTACATATTAAAAACAGTGAGTGCAATCCAGGATCCTATCTATCCCATCTTTCAGAAGGGAAGAGTGAAAGCTGATAAATCCATTGCTGTTTCTGTTATCATCTCTCCTCTACCAGTGAAACTTAACCACTTGCCTGGAAAGTTTTCATTAGAACTCATCATGTTGCCTATAGGTCTAGGTGTGAGGGACCAATGCAACAATGTTACTGTTGATGTGGTTGTGAGCATCAATATAGAATGCTTTTCTCTACCCAAATGCCTTGTGTTTCTGCAGTATTCAGATAGACATATAAGTAGGTACAGACATACATGAATGAGATGGGTAACATCTCAGAAACCTCAAGCTTCATGATAAAACAGAGTCATATCATGAAGAATTTTAATTGTCAAGTGTCTAGTTTTCATTTTAAAATGTTTCCTTTTGAGCAGTGTCAATACCTTCCAAAAGCTTCTCTGGATTTCTCAGTGCTCCTCTAAAAAGGAAAGTGGTACATTATCCCCACAGACATTACAACTGCTTCCAGAGAAACAGCTCAGTAAAATAACAACTCTATAAAATGTTGCTGCAGCTCACAACAGAGAAAGTAGAAGGTTAGGAAAATCACAACAAGGGTTGAAACCTGGGACAGGTTGGTTCAACAAAACTCAATTCTATGAGATTAACCTCCATTTGGGAATTGGAGCATACTAAAGAAATATACAGTCATGTGTCACTTAACAACATGTATAGGTTCTGAGAAATGTATCCTTAGGCAATTTCATTATTACACAGGTTTCATAGAGTGTACTTCCCAAAACCTACATGGTATAGCCTACTACACGCCTTGGATATATGCTATAGCCTATTGCCCCTAGGCTACAAACCTGTACAGCATATTCTAGTGAATACTGTAGGCAATTAAAACACAATGGTAAGTATCTGTGTGTCTAAACATATCTAAACATGGAGAATGTATAGTAAAAATATAATATAATCTTATGGGACCACTGTCAGATACGCAGTTTGTCATTGATTAAAACGTTGCTATATGGTGCATGACTGTATATATCAAGACTGCTGCCTTCAAAGAACTTTTCTGGTAAAACAAGACAAATACATATTTTAACTAGATTAGTGCTGAGATTTTTAGTTCAGATAATAGTTTTTAGAGATGGTTAGGAAGGAAAAATTCAATGTGGTTAGGATACTATATTTCTGAAGGAAAGATGAATGTTCACAAAGACTCTTTTCCTTTCTCACTTCGTAATTAGTAATTTTGTTATTTTGCAATCTTCCAAATGGAACTGATAATTCTATACCTAGTTACCCACCACCCTCAACACTCTCTCAAAGTCTCTAATGTCAAAGATCACAAGAATAGGAAAGGCTGGGTTAACCAGATTTAAAAATCATTTAAAAGAGCATTCAGAATTTTCTTGCTTTTTCTCATATCATGTTCTTGTACTACTTGGCTTTGGATTAAGATAAGCTTGAATTTGTCTTGGAAAGCTTACCTAACCTCTTTGAGACACAATGTTCTCTTCCATGAAATAATAAGATGAAATTAGATGGCAGGTTTAAAATGTCCATCACAACATCTGACTCTTAGATACTCAATATTGTTCTCTGCCCTATTCAAGCCACTTGTCCCATATACTCTGGTTATAGAAGTGTCTTTGAAGTAAAACCAGAGATGTGGGACAATATAGATGTCATTGTATTGGGCAGAGGTGGATAGTTAGCAGTATGTAAGGACATAAAATTGCTTGGGATTTTCAACTTCAGACACAGACATAGGAAAAAAATATTGAGAGGATTCCCTAAGGTATGGCAAGCTACCAAGTCAGGGAACACATAAATTGTTCCTCCTCAATGAAGTAATACCAATGCTAAATATACAAGTGGTGATAGACAGGGATATAATTGAATTTTTAAAATATATAAACAAACAGAAATGTATTCAGTTATAGGAAAAGTATCACCACCTCATAGGCTAATCAAAAATGTTTCCAGGTTAAGGGACAAAAAAATTTATAATAATTCCAAGGTCTCTTAGATATATTTTTGAAAAATGCAATAACATAATTGGCTCTAATTTTCAATAAACTGCATTTTTTTTTCCAGGGGGAAAGAACAAAGATTAGAACTTGACCAGATACTAAAAAGTGAAAAATGCCCCTAGTTGAACACAGAATTGAACCTGAAAGCGCTCTGGAAACTCAGGGAAGTCTGATTCACAATCAAATGGTTTGCAGATTAATATCTGCAAATTAATAAAGATAATGCTCCTTGTGTCTTTGTATTTTCGGGGTGTGGGATTACTGCCATCATTTGATGGAGAAGAAGTTTTAACTACTAAGTCAGCATGTTTCCATGGTGCTACCTGGTTGCAAATCTGGGATGACATAAGGCACCAGCTTTCTTTACAAACCTTCAAGCTTGGAGGAGGTACAAATCAAATTTGGTCTGAATATTGTAGTTTTGTTTTTCAAGAAGTACTATTTCTGTTTAAGAGTTTTTGTTTGTTTTATAGAGATCTCCTTGGTTAATCCTTTAGCCACACTGATTTGATGCCAAGTTATTGTTTTCCAAATAGTAAATTTTTAAACTTCTTATCTGATTAGTTTTACCTGTTGAGGACAGGTGTTTTATGCCTCATAATTTTCCCCTCCATACTCATTTATACTTGAATAATTTTCAAGATTCTTGGTGAATTTCCCTTTGAAGGTTTCAAGTCCCTTTAATCCCCAGAATAAATTTATTAATTTATTAATGTTTCCCAAATAAAGAAAAAACCCTATTGGGAATATAGTGTTAATTATTTTTCTCAAGTACATCCACCAATATTGGTGCATACATTTCTCAGGAAATTAAATTTTCCATTAGTTCAATATGCTTGGAATGTTTGAATTAAAAAGAATTTTCCAAAAATGGTCCCAGGCTTCTTTTAAATGATGTTATTAAAAATATAAAGTTCATATTCTAATAGATTACCCAAGAAGGTTACTGCATACAAATTTACCTAAGTTCTTGCTTGTTATTATCTATTTTCCTGTAGTCTTGCTTGGTTCTGGAGGGACAGTTTGGCTGAATATCAAATACTTAATTTACACTAGTTTTTCTCATTAAGCATTTTTTTATACTACTGCTTTAAAATTGGGTTATCAAAAGACCAATGCCAGTCCAATATATCTGTCATTGCAAGTTACATGTTTGTTTATTTAGGCCATGAGGTCATGAGAATTTTTCTTTTAACTCTGAAACCTAATGGTTATTAGAATATGTCTTAAAGTTTATCAGTCTGGGTTAATGATAAACTAAATTTTCTCATAAACTGTATTTTCCCAAGTACCCAGTGGGGTCTTCCCATTTTTAGGTTCAAACTTTTTATTAAATGTCTGGGAAGTTTTCTGTGATTATAATTTCAAACATTATTTTCCAATGTTTTTGTTAATAGTTATTTTCTAATGTCTAATGTCCTAAAGTTTTGCTTTTCACTCTTTGTTTTGTTCAGGGATTGCAATAATACACATATTACTCCTTCTCTTTCTATCTTTGTATCATATTCACTTCTTCACTCATTTTTATTCTCTTAATTATTTTTCTGTTTTTCTTCAATGCTCCTTATTTAATTTTTTAAAATCAATTCTCTCATGGGCGTCTTAAAATCCATTCTTCATTTCTATGTTAATTTTGTCTTTTAATTCCATTTCTTTTTTGAATTCAATCAACTTTCTTTTAATTTTTACTGGTTTTTTCCATGTCTAGCCTCAGATTTTGAATTTCTGATTTAGATTATTTTTTCAAATCTTCATTTACTTGTGAGACTATCTCATTCCATTTATAGTTTTGACTTGGAGTTTTCTTCTGCTTCATGGTTATTAGTCTGAGGGAAAATTTCCTCAGTTAATATGTGTTGAATTTTGTTTTCAGATTTCTTTCAAAAGCTCATTTTGAATCTGTTAATCTTCTCTTGTCTATTTTTTTATGTGTGGTATTACAGTGTTTTACAAGATTTTTAATTTAATGATACTCCTGTCTCACAGTATTTCAAAACTCGAAAACTTCAATGGTTTTGTTTGTTTGCTTTTATGATAGGCAATGGGATTGTGAATTATCTAGTTTTGTGTTCCCCTTTTGTCTTGCGGGATTCAAAAATGTCCTCTTTCATTTAATTCACTATCCCATTGGCCAGAGGTGCCTTCTTTATGGTTTCTTTCTCCTCCAAAGAAGCTTTGTGTTTTAAATTCTGCTTCTTTAAGTTGTGAAACTCTTAAATATCTTTTCTGTGGCTCATGCTCTGTCTTACCTGGACATTATTTTAGTATTTTTAGAAAAGAGTGGACTTAGTTTTTCTGGCAGAGATTTTAGACCTTATGCCTCATTGTTTATTTCTTTATCTCTTTTCTGTAGGTTTTCTAGGTCTGTGTTTTCTTTCCAGAAATGTCTTGCGGTGGGGTTGGAGTGGGACAACTGTGTAAAAGACCACACACTAAAACATCTTACAGCTATTAAGAATGTAGGCATTCTCTGTATGCTAATTAGGTTTAGAAGTAGTTTTTTTCCATAACTTAATTTGTTCCTCTTATTTTCTATCTTATTAATATATAGAAAATGTTGGAATGAAATACTGAAAGACAAGAATATAGGGAAAAGCTACCATTGTCTTTGTGCATACTTATGATTTTTAACTTAGCAATATATTTATATTTAAAACGTGGCTTTTAGGCCACATGCAGTGGCACTCACCTGTAATCTCAGCACTCTGGGAAGCCGAGGCCAGCAGATCACTTGAGGTCAGGAGTTCTAGACCAGCCTGGCCAACATGGTGAAACCCCATCTCTACTAAAAATACAAAAATTAGCTGGGCATGGTGGTGGGTGCCTGTAATCCCAGCTATTCAAGAGGCTGAGGCAGGAGAATCACTTGAACCAGGAGGCAGAAGTTGCAGTGAACTGAGATCGTATCACTGCACTCCAGCCTGGGTGACAGAGAGAGACTTCATCTCAAAAACAAAAAATAAAATAAAATAAAATGTGGTTTTTATAGACAGACTATAGTTAGGTCTTGCTTTTTTAACACATTATGACAATCTCTATATTTTTATTGATTTTTATATTTTATTGATCATTTACATTTAATATAATTATTAATATGGCAGGGTTAAAATCTATTATATTGTTTGTTCTTCTATACTTGTATTGTATATTCTTTATTCACGTTTTTCTTTTTACTGCCTGCTTTTGTATTAATTGAACGTTTGTTATGATGCCATTTTATTTTTACTACTGTCTTATTAATAATACTTCATTGTTAAAACAGTTGCATTAAGGTTTACAATTTATATCTTGGTTTTATCACAATCTATCTTTTAATATGAATAATGTTAGAACTTTACAACTGTATCCTTTCAATTCTTGCCTCAAATTCATTGTACTACTATTATGCATTTTATTTTGCCTATAAATATCACAATACACTATTATTATTTTTGTTTTAAATATTTATTTATAGTTTAGAGACACTGAAAATTAGGGAAAATGTTTATATTCATTTTTACCATTTCTAGAGCTCTTTATTTTTGTGGTAAATTCAAGTTTGCATCTGGTCTCATAATCCTTTTGCCTGAAAAACTTCCTTGATCATACCTTGTAGCATTGGTCCATTGGCAATAAATGCACGTACCTGTTGGTTTTTTTCTGAAAAACAAATCTTCATTGAGACTTTACTCTTGAAAGATATTTTCACTGTGAATAAATTTCTAGGATTACTTTTTCTGATACTTTAAAGATGTCACTTCATTGCTTTTCTGAATTGTGCAGTTTTTGACAATAACTCTTCTACGATTCTTATCTTTCATTCTCCCTGTGTAGTGTTTCTTTTTCCCTAGCTGCCTTTAGTGATTCTGCTTTATCTTTGCTTTTCAGCTGTTTCAGCTGTTGTAAATCAAGCATTGTGAAAAATTACAAAGTACTCTTTGCAGATAAGTTTCTACATAATATTTACCCTAAAATACATGTAAGTATTTGAAATAACTTAATTTCTAGTAAGTATACTAAGTCTCTGAGAATAAAATTGGTTACTTTAATTTAAAAATAATATGAAGATTTTCATAGCTATGGTAGCATTTTACTTAACAATATTAAGAATGAAGTATCCCTTTAGAGTTTAGGATATTTTTTAATTTGTCTCTGCTCAAAGATACAAGCTAATAACAGATTGTACCTTATACTAAAACACTCTGATAATAAGAAATGATTTTGGATATTCTAGAAGGGCATGTATGCAAAAGAGATTTAAAAAGAACTAAATCATATATTGAGAACAAAAAAATATAAAATTTTCACTAGAAAGTATTCATTTTATTACCACATGACTACTCTTTGTAGAATGATTTATAACATGCTAGAAAAACAATACTTATATCATTATCTCTAACCTCATATTTCAGAGTTGCAGATAGTGTAGGTGTGATTTCAGGGTCTTACAATATCCTGATATCTAGTTTTCTTTTTTTTATTAACTTCTCTAGCACAACTGAATCTACATTAAGTGGGAACAAAGTTTTCCTTTCCACAAAGAGGTAAAAATAATTTTTAAGTCCTAAATTTTAAGAGAGGAAACACAATTGAACACCCATTCTAATATATGCTCTTGTAAAATTTGTTGACAAATTGAGGGTTTATGTTGTGATTTCTTTTTAAATTAAGGATACAATGTAGTACTGGGCACCTGAAATTAAGATAGCGAAATAAAGATCAGAACAGGTTACAAAAGAGTAATGAGTGGGAAGACAGGGAGGACCCTCAGAAAAGCTGAACTACAAAGAATTTTGCTTGGCAGTTTTAGTTTTTGGTATCACTAAAAAAGACTGTGGAAATTAGAGATGTATTTATTTCACTGATAACCTCAAACCTAATTTTATATATGAAAATAAAGTTTTTCTACATTTAACTGAGGAAAACCATATGCCTTCTAAAATACAATTTTATAAAAGGCTATATGTATTTGCTAGAGCTATTGTATCACAAATACTACAAACTGAGTGGTTTACACAACAGATATGCATTATTTTACAGTTCTGAAGACTAGAAATGTGAGATCAAGAAGTCAGAAGGCTTGGCTCCTTCTGAGGGCTTCTGGTGGTAGGCTGGCAATCTTTAGCATCCCCAATCTCTGTCTATCTTCACATGGCACTTTCCCTATGTGCTTTTCTGTGTCCAAATCGTCCCGTTTTTTGTAAGAATAGTGGTCGTATTGAATTAGGACCACATCTTACTAGTATACCCTCATCCAAACTTAACTAATTACATCTGCAAAAACCCTATTTCCAAATAAGTTTAGATTCTGAGATATTGGGATTAGAGCTGAAATATATGAACCTATAACAAAACTATTTCCATTTCACATTTAGAGCAGTTTTGTTGAAGTTTTACCAAATATATTACTTGCAGGATGATTGCTAACTGATGGATGTAAATTTGTTTTTACATCCATCAGCAGTTTTAGTTCTTTATTAATGAGAAATTAAACTTGGGAGTACACTCTGTTATTTTTTAGTTTGAAAATATTTAAATTCTAAAATTAAGGGATCAACTTGATTCATAAACCTTATAATAATGTGTTGATTTGCACTCATGATTTTGGAAATACGGAGATAAGGTTTAAGGTTTAGCTTTACCTGGAATATATTCTCATCAAAGACATACATCACACCCAACCAGGCATCCTGAATTAAAAATAAGTATTAAGTACATATAACTAATGTTTAATTGTAATATAAATATTACTTTAACATAAATATCAAATAAACCATAGTACATGGAATTAAATTGAATTAACATTAACTTTTGATAAATTGTTATTTGAATGAATACTAGTTAAATAATACATACTATAAATCAATATTATTGAGAAATTTTTATTATATTCTACATTGCCTATAAGTATCTGGAAAGGGGACCTGAGAATCAATAGGATTAGCTGGGTTTTCACCAAATAATGGGTGAAAAATGTACATAGAAATGTCCAAATTGCATTTTCATGTCAAGGAAGAGTGAAGTTGTATCATGTAAAGGTCTGTTCTGTCTTGGTACTCTGTAATATACATTTATCCAGGCCACTGTTTCTTATGTAAGTAAAAAGTCAGGATGCTAATTATTCACCTTACATTCTCCTATCTCAAAAGTGACATAAGTGTGGAATGGTTAGTTATGAAGTGCCTCCCCTCTAAAAGTGGTTGGTTATATACATGGGTTCACCGTGTTGCTCAGGCTGGAGTGCAATGGTGCTATCTGGACTCACTGCAACCTCCACCTCCCAGGTTCAAGCTATTCTCCTGCTTCAGCCTCCCCAGTAGCTGGGATTACAGCCGCCCACCACCACGCCAAGCTAATTTTTGTATTTTTAGTAGAGATGGGGTTTCACCATGTTCGACCAGGCTGGTCTCGAACTCATGACCTCAGGTGATCCACCTGCCTTGGCCTCCCAAAGTGCTGGGATTACAGGCGTGAGCCACCATGCCAGGCAAATATTTAAAATATTGATTTCCACTGAGGCTTCCAGTGGACAGTGAGCTCAGATCATGGCTTGACACACCTGAGCAAGGCCAGAGGAGCAGGAGGACTGAATTTGACAAATATCTAAACACATTCTAATTGAGGCCTTCCAAAGGGACGCTTATCCTGATATTACTGTCATAGAATAACTGGCCAGAAAACACAGATTCCCAAGCCATGAATCCAGGTTTGGTTTCAGAACCAGAGAGCTCGGATACCAAAGAGAAGCCAGGGAAGCCCCAGTGTGGAGGCAGCCTGGGCGCAGGCCCCGATCCCACTCCCCGGTCAGCCCGGGTTGCTGGCCCCTGACTACTCCTGCCAGCACAGATTCCCAGGGGTTCAGAGCAATGTGGGCAACTTCTCCTGGGAACCAGAGGAGGCTTGGGGCCAAGTTCTCCTCTGAGGGCACGCTGGCGTCCCGGGCCCAAATGCCCCGGCCACCACCACCTTGACCTGGAGATGGTAGCCAGTGTGCCAGGCCAGCCTTACGCAAACGTCTCTTTCCGCCCTTCAGCTCAGCGCTGCTTCCAGGTCCCGCTTGCCACCAGCCCTTTCCACAGCTAGAAGCTGTCAGTGCTGGGCCTCAAGTTCCTCCCAGGGCACCTGGCCTGCTCCCAGCATGGGGCAGGCCCCTGTGGGGACCTAGGCTGCGGCCTGTCACCGCAGAGCTGCAGCCATTGTGGGTCTGGCAGCCAGGGAAGGCGCCCGGGTAGGGTGCGCGGGGACCTGAAAGCAGCCCTCTCCGCCACCGCCCCAGCAGCTTTGGCCGCATCCCACCTCTCGGGCCGCTTTCCTGGCCGCTGCGCAGCCGTTGTGCAGGGCCCTGCTAAGCGCTAGGAGCATTTTCCTTCTCTTCCTCTCTAACCCAACCAGCTCGGGAGGCCCCGGAGCACCTGCTGCAGGATCTGCACCTCTGGGGGAGCTGCAAGGCAAACCCGTGGAAATCACCTTAGTCTGTGTCCTGCGCTCATCTGTAGTGTTCACATTATGAAAATTGAAGAGGAATATCAAGATTTGTATACTTTATAGTGGAAGGGCCTCCAGACACACTTTCCAGGGAAATGAAGTTGTCAGAATGGAAGGGCCTCAGGGTGCACAGGACTTTGGGGTTTTTCTTAGATGGGAGAAAAAAGGATTCGGGTGTCCTTCTGTTTATTAACCAAATAAACATGGCGCGTTTACAATGTACAAAGGCTGCTAGAGAGAGGGGCTTGGCAGGATGAGGACTGTTTCGTAGAAATGTATTATTTTGTAATCAGTAAACCACAATCAGTTCTATTCTAGCCATTTCTGTGTCCCCATAACGGATTCTTCTCTTTTCTGTGCATAGTGATGACTTCCCCCAGCCTGGCTTTTGTGCTGCTCCCTGATCCGACCTTGCATCTCCAGCTTTATCCAGCCTTCTTTTCCCTGTGTCCAGCCAAATGGGGTTCTTTATGGAAGCTGAACCTGCACCTGTCCCTAGGCATTTTCCTGAAACAATCCCCTCCTTGCAACTCACCTTGTAGGGGCCTAGCAGCAAACTCCACAGTAAAATTCCTACCCAGCCTACGTCTTTCTCCCATGCTGGATGCTTCCTGCCTTCGAAAGAAAGAAATTCATGTCTTCTGTCTAAGAGTTCACAGGGTCTAGCACATAGTGTTTCTCCCCACTCCAACATTTGCCCAGCCATGCTAAAAGAAAGAAAGAAGGAGGATGGAGGAAGGGGGCACGCCAGCACAGAGGTGATTCACTCAAGGAGGGAAGGCGGACAGTGATCCCTCATGGTCCCAGAAATAAACACCCCTCTCATTTTGGGGGGATACTATACCTTTGGGGTTACTGAATAAGTATGTGGTGTAAGTTAGAGATGAAATTAGGGAGACAAATGGCTCAGCACAGTCTAAAACCAGAAGCCAAGTGCAGTGCTGCTTGTCCACAGAAGTGCTTGCCTGGTGGTTAATACTGAGTGTCAACAACTGGACTGAAGGACACAAAAAATTGATTCTAGGTGTGTCTGTGAGGGTGTTGCCAAAAGAGATTAACATTTGAGTCAGTGGGCTGGGGAAGGCAGATCCACCCTTAATCTGGTGGGCTCAATCTAATCAGCTGCCAGCAAATATAAAGCAGGCAGAAAATGTGAAAAGGAGAGACGGGCCTAGCTATTCAGCCTACATCTTTCTCCTGTGCTGGTTGCTTCCTGCCTTCAAACATCGGACTCCAAGTTTTCAGTCTGGGGACTTGGACTGGCTCTCTTTGCTCCTCAGGTTGCAGAGAGCCTATTGTGGGACCTTGTGATTGTGTAAATTAATACTTAATAAACTCCCCACCATTTTTTTTTTTTTTGAGGGGGAGTCTCGCTCTGTCGCCCAGGCTGGAGTGCAGTGGTGCAATGTCAGTTCACTGCAACCTCCGCCTCCCGGATTCAAGTGATTCACCTGCCTCAGCCTCCCAAGTAGCTGGGATTACAGGTGCGCTCCATCACGCCCAGCTAATTTTTGTATTTTTTTCTTTAGTAGAGTCGGGGTTTCACCATGTTTGCCAGGCTGGTTTTGAACTCCTGACCTCGTGATCTACCCACCTCAGCCTCCCAAAGTGCTGGGATTACTGCGCCCAGCCTTTGTTCGTTTGTTTGTTTGTTTTGTTTTGTTTTGTTTTTTAGACTGAGTTTCACTCTTGTTGCCCAGGCTGGAGTGCAGTGGCATGATCTCAGCTCACCACAACCTCTGCCTCCTGGGTTCAAGCGAGTCTCAGCCTCCCGAGTAGCTGGGATTACAGGCATGAGCCACCACACCTGGATAATTTTGTATTTTTAGTAGAGACGGGCTTTCTCCATGAGGTCAGATCACCTGACATCAGGTGATCTGCCCGCCTTGGCCTCCCAAAATGCTGGGATTATAGGTGTGACCACCATGCCCGGCCAAACTCCTGTACATATATATATATATATATATATAGTTCTGTTCCTCTAAGAGAACCCTGACTAATATAGTTTGTCACATGTTTCATCCTCTGCATCACCTTATCAATCTGGGAAGTTAGGAAAGAGCCGACACATTTAGAAATTGAGCATGTGACTGTGGAGCATGTAACTGACATGGTAATGAGCATGTAGTCTATCTGTTCTCCCCAATTGTCTGATGCAAGGATTGGTAGTGGGGTGGGGGTGGAGATGGGCTCCTGGTTCTCATGCCCTGGCCACACAGCCTGAAGTCCAACACCAGACTACATCAGTGCTTCAGGCTCTGATGCCAAAAGCCTCCAGCGTTCATCAGTAGAATTCTTTGGGGCCTACAACTGCAGTTCCTGCACACCCATTGCCACTTACCTTCCTAAAATGACAGTCTAAACTGAAGAGGGCTATAGGATTTTCCAACAACCTGTGAGCTCCTGGAAGGCAAAGTCCCACAGTACAGTGTACCGTGGTCACTGTGAGGGATCTATTGAGTGAGGGGAGGTTCTGGACATCCCATTGCCAATGCCAGAAGAAGGTATGAGAACAGAGCTGCCCGGCAGCGGGAGTGGGCAGTAGTCCTCTGTTGGCTTGCTCTTCCATGGCCCTTGTGAGTTTTAACAGCCCCTTGAACCCTCCTCTTCACTTCTCAGGCCTCTTCTGGACTGTCTCTGGCCTAGGCACCTGACCTGAGAAAGACCCTTGCAGGCTCTTCCCTACATGGGACTGGGTTTCCATTCTGGTTCCCACACTTTCTTGAGGTAGGGACCTGGGCAACCTTTCTTCTCTCATGGATCCTGGTTTCTTAACTACAAGGTGGCCTGTGAGTGCCCAGGCCAGTCAGGGAGCAATAAAATAAAGAAATACATAAACAGAGAAAAACATAAAAATAAAAACTATAGAAAAGAGCCAACTCTGCTGTTAATGTAGGGAAGATAGGAAAAACAGAACTAGAAAGGCAAATGACAAGCTGGAAAAAAAAAATTAGAACATTTACAATGGCAGATAAATTAGTAAGTTCACATAATGATTGTTAAACAAAAATCCTGAGAAGCAATTGTTTTAGTCTGAGCTCCTGAACTGGACCTCAGCAGACCAAACTAAACTGATATGGAGTCACTCAGGCTTAATGCCAAATAATCAAACTGGAAAAGCAGATAGACCCCCAAGATACCAATTTTTCTTTGAAAACAGGATATTCCGGTCGACATGAGTCAGCATAATATGGAAGATTCCTCTGCTTTAGTTCTTACAAAAAACTAACCTGAAGTAACCTTACTTGATGTTAACAAGTCAGTTTTTTAAAATGTATTTATTTATTTATTTATTTATTTTTTTGTGGAGAAGGCGTCTTGCTCTGTTGCCCAGGCTAGAGTGCAGTGGCACCATCTGGGCTCACTGCAACCTCCGCCTCCCAGATTGAAGCAATTCTCTGCCTCAGCCTCCCAAGTAGCTGGGACTACAGGCACATGCCGCCACATCTGGCTAATTTTTTGTATTTTCATAGAGACGGGGTTTCACCGTGTTGCCCGGGCTGGTCTCACTCCTGAACTCAGGAAATCCACCCGCTTCGGCCTCCCAAAGTGCTAGGATTACAGGCGTGAGCCACTGCACCAGGACAGCTTTTTCTTTCTGTTGTTCTTCCCTGTTCCCACCTTACAGAACCCACTGTTCTGCCATTGCCCAGTGGGAACTCTCATTCTACTTTGTAGAATGGAGCCTGCACCAATTCATGAATTTCAAATAAAAGTCAACTAAATTTGTTGAAAAATAAAATAAAATATTATTAAATTATGGGAAGATAATAATCTATCACTAAAGGGAACTTTCCAAAACTTTAGCCTTCAAAATCTCCAAAATAGTCTATCAAATATCTTTATTACAGAAAAAAATAGCATTTATGCAAGAAACAATAGATTTTGTATGGGTAATAAGTTCGGATCTAATGCAACAAATTTTGGAAATTTACATTACTCATTATTGTTTAGCATTCTCCATCTTTGAAATGGCAAATTTCATGTGAATATCAAAATATATTAACAGCTTCGTAGACCATTTTCATCTATTTTTCCACAAAAGCTATTGAGATAACTGTAATACACAAAGAAATACTGTTCAAGGTTAAGGAGAAAAACTGTGGGACAAGGATAAAACCTTTGTGTCACCAAGTTATATGGCTGATAGCAGCTGGAAAACTACTGTGCAGACCTTCTCAAACTGGCATCTCAGAAAACTTTTGTGTATGACTAACTGCCTTGATAAACTGCAATTACACTTATAGCAAAAGGTCCTGGAGAGGAAAGGTACTGACCCAGAGAAAATGAAAAAATCCCAAGGCATTCTTTGAAGGCCATTTGTGGCCAAACTTAAATAATTACAATGTGAGCCCAGCTCCTTTAACCATATAGCTCTTGAATTCATTTGTGAAGCAACAAGTGCATACTGTAGGCTAACACTTTTTTAGTAAGAGTATAGCAAACAATGCAGTAAAAGTAAAATCAAACTGTAATACAGAAATATTACACTACTGCAAATTGCAAGGTCAGCTAGATAATGCTAAAGAGCTACTTTTCTTTTGTGATAAAGGAGTTTATTGGTAGTCATTTAAACATTTAAATTAGTGTTTATTTTTATCAAAGTTACACAGGTACATAGTCTCCAGAGTCAAATCGATATGTAAGGCTTATCGTAAGAAACCATTTTCTGAATTACTTCATCTCTGTTTCCCAATCTTGAAACAACAAAATTCAATCATTTTAGGTGATACTTCAATATATAATTCTGATAACCTTTTATATATCTATATGTACTTATTTTATTATAACAGTAAATATTGGTTTTCTGCATCAGAGGCAAACCTATTATTTACTTACAGAATATTTTGCTTTCTTTCTTCACACCCCATTATTCACACACCAGGTGAAAAGAAGATGGAGAATGTCACTTGCACATCCAGGAGATCTGTGTTACAGTAGAGGACCCCTGAAATTATGAAAACGGGATATTATATAGGAGCTGTCACGTTCATTCCTCCTCTTCTCCAGAAAGAGAGAGAGAGCACAAGAGCATGCCTTTTTGGCAGGTGCAGGAAAAGATCTCTACTCTCAAATATAAGCATTAGGCTCTGGGGGAGACAAGAAAGGTTTTGTTACCCTGTTACCCTTTGAGTGGCAGCAGATGGCTTCACAGTGAAGCAGACAAGTAGTTAGGGTGTAAAGAGCAAATGGAGAAGGCAGGGAAAAAAAGGACATTATCTTTATCCATGTCAATTTCCATTGTTCAGAAAGCCTTGACCATGCAGAAATATGAAAATATTCCTGATGTATTCAACATTTCTAAATGATATATTTATGTTGTTACTTCTTAACTTTAAAATTTTTAGTCATTGTCTATTGACACCTCATTCTTTCACCCCCCACCCCTAATTGCATACTCAATGTATCATAATTTTTAGCTCAGTATTCAAAATGTATATCATTATTGCCTTGTAAGTGATATTCACTAATGAGGCATGTAAGAAACTATGACAATTTCTCATTATTGCTTAATAAATTTTTTCCTCAGAGTTAATAATTTTCTTTTTTCCTTATTACTTAGTATTCTATTTACTAATCACTAACTCATGCCCACACTCTCCCCTCAGTTGTGTGTGACTTCACTTATTATGTTAAAAAGTCAAGATAGTCCAACCATTTCAATTTGAAGTACTATTTTGAAGAATTATGACTTGCTTCTGTCACAGATGGCAGCTTGGTGGGCCTGAACCTATGGGCCTATAGCAGCCACCCTTGCTGTCTCACCTCATACTCTCTCCATCTCTGATTTCAGCTGTTGCTGGGGTAGAAAGTGCCCTGAGATCTCAGACTAATGCCATCATCCCACCTCAAGTTTTCTTGGTAGGGCTTTCTACTCTCTGCCTCACCTACTCCAGAATGAGGCCCAGAAGTAAGGAAGAGTTAACAATTCAGTGTTAATATTGAACAATGGGGAAGGTGGCCACTGGATTAATATTTCAGCCTCCTCTCTTACAAGGGAACAATTCTTGGGGTCATTACAGATGCTTCTCACAGAGGTGCTCTGTAATTGAACCATGTTTGCTTACAATGTGAGACCAATAAAGGTATTCTTTTTAAAATTTTTTTATTTATTTCAATAGGTTTTTGGGGAACAGGTGGTGTTTGGTTACCTGAATAAGTTATTTAGTGGCGATTTCTGAGATTTTGGTGCACCCATCACCTGAGCAGTAAACACTGTGCCCAATGTGTAGTCTTTTAACCCACAACCCCTTCCCACCCTTTCCCCCGAGTCCCCAAAGTCCATTGTATCATTCTTATGCTTTTGTGTCCTCATAGTATAGTTCTCACTTATGAGTGAGAACATACAATATTTGGTTTTCCATTCCTGAGTTACTTCACTTGGAGTAATGGTCTCCAATTCCATCCAGGTTGATGTGAATGACATTATTTTGTTCCTTTTTATGGCTGAGCAGTATTCCATGGTAAATATATACACCACATTTTCTTTATCCACTTGTTGATTGATGGACATTTGGGCTGGTTCCATATTTTTGCAATTGCAAATTGTGTTGCTATAAACATGCATAAGCAAGTGTTTTTTTTCATATAATGATTTCTTTTCCTCTGGGTAGATACCCAGGAGTGGGATTGCTGGATCAAATGGTCTTTAGCTCTTTAAAGAATCTCCACACTGTTTTCTATGGTGATTGTTTATATTCCCACCATTAGTGTAAAAGTGTTCCCTTTTCACACCCATAATCCCAACACTTTGGGAGGCCAAGGCCGGTGGATCACGAGGTCAGGGCATCGAGACCATCTTGGCCAACATGGTGAAACCCCGTCTCTACAAATAATACAAAAATTAGCTGAGTGTGGTGACACATGCCTGTAATCCCAGCTACTCAGGAGGCTGAGGCAGGAGAATTGCTTGAACCAGGGAGGCAGAGGTTGCAGTGAGCTGAGATTGTGCCACTGCACTCCAGCCTGGTAACAGAGCGAGACTCTGTCTCAAAGAAAAAAAAATTGTTCCCTTTTCATCACATCCATGCCAACATCTATTTTTTTTTTATTTTTAAATTATGGCCATTCTCACAGGAATAAGGTGGTATTGCATTGTGGTTTTGATTTGCATTTCCCTGATAATTAGTGATGTTGAGCATTTTTTCATATGTTTGTTGGCCACTTGTATATCTTTTTTTGAGGATGGTGTAGTCGTGTCCTCGGCCCACTTTTTGATGAGATTGTTTGTTTTTTTCTTCTTGATTTGTTTGAGTTCCTTGTAGATTCTAAGTATTAGTCCTTTGTTGGATGTATAGATTGTGAAGATTTTCTCCCACTCTGAGGAATGTCTGTTTACTCTGCTAATTATTTATTTTGCTGTGCAGAAGCATTTCAGTTTAATTAAGTCCCACCTATTTATCTTTAGGTATTTGTTGCATTTGCTTTTGGGTTCTTGATCATAAAGTCTTTGCCTAAGCTAATGTCTAAAAGGGTTTTTCCAATGTTATCTTCTAGAATTTTTATGGTTTCAGGACTTAGACTTAAGTCTTTGATCCACCTTAAGTTGGTTTTCGTATAGGGTGAGAGATGAAGATCCAGTTTCATTCTTCTACACGTGACTTGCCAATTATCCCAGAATCATTTGTTGAATAGGGTGTCTTTTCCCAAGTTTATGTTTTTATTTGCTTTGTCAAAGATCAGTTAACTGTATTTGGCTTTATTTCTGGATTCTCTATTCTGTTCCATTGGTCTATATGCCTATTTTTATACCAGTATCATGCTGTTTTGGTGACTATGCTTTATAGTACAGTTTGAAGTCAGGTGATGTAATGCCTCCATATTTGTTGTTGTTGTTTGCTTTTTTAAAAAAAATTTTGCTTAGTCTTGCTTTGGCAATGTAGGCTCTTTTTTGGTTCCATATGAATTTTAGGATCGTTTTTTCTAGTTCTGTGAAGAATGATGGTGGTATTTTGATGGGAATTGCATTGAATTTGTAGATTGCTTTTGGCAGTATGATCATTTTCACAATATTGATTCTACCCATCCATGAGCATAGGATGTGTTTCCATTTGTTTGTATCATCTATGATTTCTTTCAGCAGTGTTTTGTGTTTTTTCTTGTAGATGCCTTTCACCTCCTTGGTTAAGTTTATTTCTAAGTATTTGATTTTTATTTTCACTTTTTGCAGCTATTGTAAAAAGGGTTGAGTTATTGATTTGAGTCTCAGCTTGGTCGCTGTTGGCTTATAGCAGAGCTACTGATTTGTGTACATTAATTTTGTATCCTGAAACTTTGCTGAATTCATTTACCAGCTCTAGGAGCTTTTTGGATGAGTCTTTAGGGTTTTCTAGATATACAGTCATGTCATCAGCAAATGGCAACACTTTGACTTCCTCATTACCAATTCAAATGCCCTTTATTTCTTTCTCTTGTCTGATTGCTCTGGCTAGGACTTCCGATACTATGTTGAATAGAAGTGGTGAAAGTGGGCATACTTGTCTTGTTCCAGTTTTCAGGGGAAATGCTTTCAATTTTTCCCCATTCAGTATAATGTTGGCTGTGGGATTGTCATAGATGGTCTTTATTGCCTTAAGTTATGTCCCTTCTATGCCAATTTTGCTGAGGGTTTTAATCACAAAGGGACGCTGGATTTTGTCAAATGCTTTTTTCTGTGTCTATTGAGGTGATCATGTGATTTTTGTTTTTAATGCTGTTTATATGGTGTATCACATTTATTGACTTGCTGATGTTAAACCATCCCTGCATCCCTGGTATGAAACCCAATTGATCATGGTGGATTATCTTTTTGATATGCTGTTGGATTCAGTCAGCTAGTATTTTATTGAAGATTTTTGCATCTATGTTCATCAGGGATATTGGTGTATAGTTGTTTTTCGTTGTTGTTGGTGGTGGTGGTTTTGTTGTTGTTGTTGTTGCTACGTCCTTTCCTGGTTTTGCTATTAGGGTGATACTGGCTTCACAGAATGATTTAGGGAGAATTCCCTCTTTCTCTATCTTTTGGAATAGTATCAATAGCATTGGTACCAATTCTTTTTGAATGTCTGATAGATGTCAGCTGTGAATCCTTCTGGTCCTGAACTTTTTTTTTTTAGTAACTTTCTAATTACCATTTCAATCTTGCTGCTTGTTATTGGTCTGTTTGGAGTTTCTATTTCCTGCTGGCTCAATCTAGGAAGGTTGTATATTTCCAGAAATTTATCCACCCCCTCTTGGTTTTCTAGGTTATGTGCATAAAGGTGTTCATAGTAGCCTTGAATTATCTTTTGCAATTCTGTGTTATGGGTTGTAATATCTCCCATTTCATTTGTAATTGAGCTTATTTGGATCTTCTGCCTTCTTGGTCCATCTTGCTAATGGTCTAACAATTTTATCTTTTCAAAGAACAGGTTTATCGTTTCATTTATCTTTTGAATTTTTTTTGTTTCAACTTCATTTAGGTCTGCTCTGATCTTGGTTATTTCTTCTCCTCTGCTGGGTTTGGATTTGGTTTGTTCTTATTTCTCTAGTTCCTTCAGGTGTGACTTGAGATTGTCTGTTTGTGCTCTTTCAGACTTTTTGATGTATTTAAGACTATGAAATTTCTTCTTAGCACCGCTTTTGCTGTATCCCAGAGGTTTTGATAGGTTGTGTCACTATTATTTTTCAGTTCAAAGAAGTTTTTAATTTCCATCTTGATTTCATTGTTTACCTAACAATCAATCAGAAGCAGATTATTTAATTTCCATGTATTTATATGATTTTGAGGGTTCCTTTTGGAGTTGATTTCCAACTTTATTCCACTCTGGTCTGAGAGAGTACTTGATATAATTTCGATATTCTTAAATTTGTTGAGACTTGTTTTGTGGTCTATCATATGTTCTATCTTGGAGAATGTTACATATGCTGATGAATAAAATGTATATTCTGCAGTTGTTGAGTAGAATGTTCTGTAAATATCTGTTAAGTCCATTTATTCTAGGGTACAGTTTGTTTCTTTGTTGACTTTCTGTCTTGTTTCTTTGTTGACTTTCTGTCTTGATGACTGTCTAGTGCTGTCTATAGAGTATTGAAGTCCCCCACTATTATTGTGTTGCCATCTATCTTATTTCTTAGGTCTAGTAGTAATTGTTGTATAAATTTGGGAGCTCCAGTGTTAGATGCATATATAATTAGGATGAAGACATTTTCCTGTTGGACTAGTCCCTTTATCATTATATAATGTCCCTCTTTGACTTTTTTAACTGCTGTTGCTTTAAAGTTTGTTTGTTCTGATATAAGAATAGCTACTCCTGCTCACTTTGACTGTCCATTTGCATGGGATACCTTTTTTCACCCCTTTACCTTAAGTTTATGTGAGTCCTTATGTGTCAGGTGACTCTTTTGAAGACAGCAGATACTTGGTTGATGAGTTCTGAATCATTCTGCCATTCTGTATCTTTTAAGTAGAGCATTTAGTCCATTTACATTCAATGTCAGTATTGATATGTGAGGTACTATTCTATTCATTGTGCTATTTGTTGCTTGAATACCTTTTTTTCATTGTATTTTTATTTTATAGGTCATATAAAATATATGCTTTAAAGAGATTCTATTTTGGTGTATTGTGAGGATTTGTTTCAAGATTTAGAGCTCCCTTTAGCAGTTTTTGTAGTGCTGGCTTGGTAGTGGCAAATTCTCTCAGCATTTGTTTGTCATAAAAAGACTGTATCTTTCCATCATTTATGAAGCTTAGTTTCACTGGATAAAAATTCTTGGCTGATAATTGTTTTAAGGAGGCTGAAGATCAGACCCCAATCCCTTCTAGCTTGTAGGGTTTCTGCTGATAAATCTGCTGTTAATCAGATAGGTTTTCCTTTATAGCTTGCCTGATGCTTTTGCCTCACAGCTCTTAAGATTATTTCCTTCCTCTTGACTTTAGATAACCTGATGACTATGTGCCTAGGCAATTGTCTTTTTGCGATGTATTTCCTAGGTGTTCTTTGAGCTTCTTGTATTTGAATGTCTAGATCTCTAGCAAGGCCAAGGAAGTTTCCTCGATTATTCCCTCAAGTATATTTCTCTTTTAGATTTCTCTTTTAGATTTCTTTTAGATTTCTCTTCTTCCTCAGGAATACCAATTATTCTTAGGTTTGATCATTTAACATAATCACAAACTTCTTGGAGTCTTTGTTCATGTTTTTAAAATTATTTTCTCTTTGTCTTTGATGGATTGGGTTAATTCAAAAGCCTTATCTTCAAGCTCTGAAGTGATTTCTTCTACTTGTTTGATTCTATTGCTGAGACTTTCCAGGGCGTTTTTAATTTCTCTAAGTGTGTCCTTGATTTCCTGAAATTGTTATTTTTTAATCGATGCTATCTATTTCACTAGAGATTTTTCCATTCATATCCTGTATCATGTTTTTGATTTCTTTAAGTTGGACTTCACCTCTCTCTGGTGCCTCCTTAATTGGTTAATAATCAACCTTCTGAATTCTTTTTCTGGAAATTCAGAAATTTCTTCTTGGTTGGATTCATTGTTGGTGGGCTATTGTGATCCTCTGGGGGCGTTAAAGAGCCTCGTTTTGTCATATTACCAGAATTGTTTTTCTGGTTTCTTCTCATTTGGGTAGACTATGTCAAAGGGAAGATCTGAGACTCAAGGCTGCTGCCCAGATACTTTTGTCCCACAGGGGTTCTCCCTTGATATGATGCTCTTCCCTTTCCCCTAGGAATGGGGCTTCCTGAGAGCCAGACTGCAGTGATTGTTATTTCTCTTCTGGATCTAGCCACCCAGCGGAGTTACCAGGCTCCAGGCTGGTACTGGGGAGTGTCCACAAAGAGTTCTGTGATGTGATCCATCTTCAGGTCTCTCAGCCATGGATACCAGCACCTGCTCTGGTGGAGGCAGCAAGGGAGTGAAGTGGACTCTGTGAAGATCCTTGGTTGTGTTTTTGTTAAGTGCTCTGGTTTTGTGTTGGTTGGCCTCCATCTAGGAGGTGGCACTTTCAAGAGCACATCATCTGTGATTGTACAGGGAGGATACAAACTTGCCCAACATTGCCTTTGGATAAGTATTCAGGTTTCTCAGGTGGTGGGCAGGGCCATAGTGCTACTAAGAGACTATGACCTTTGTCTTCAGCTACCAGGGTGGGTAGAGAAAGACCATCGGATGGAGGCAGGGTTAGTTGTTTCTCAGCTCAGACTCTCCTTGGGTGAGGCTGGCTGTGGCTGCTGTGGGGGTCCAGCATGTGGTTCCCAGGCCAATGGAGTTATATTCCCAGGAGGATTATGGCCATCCCTGCTGCGTCACACAGATTGCCAGGGAAGTGGGGGAAAGTGGCAGCCACAGGCCTCAGCCAGCTCCCAGGCAGCCTGCAGTCCAAAAGGCCAGTCTCACTCTCACTGTGTCCCTGCAACAGCACTGAGTTTATTTCTAGGCAGCCGGTGAGCAGAGCTGAGAATTCACCCCAGGCTACAAGCCCCCCAGGTGAGAAAGCAGACAGACTCACAGTTCCTTGGCTGTCCCATGGAGCCTGCAGCAGCAACCCACCTCCTTCAAAGGGTCTGTGGATTCTCTCAGCTGTCCTGATATGTTCCTGCAGTAGTTCTTGGAGAATAAGTTCACAATCTGGGTCTCCACACACTGCTGTGTCACTCCAAGTGAGAACTACAAGTTAGCGCTGTCTCCTATCTGCCATTTTCAATAATGTCTTCCCCCAGTAAAGGTATTCTTATATTGACTTTTCCTCTTTCTTTTTCTCACTCACCCTTTCCTTCATTCCTGTCTGCTGGGATTATCTCCCACATAAACCATACCCAAGTCCTTGTTGCAGGCTCTGCTTTGGGGGAAACTAATCTGAGATTTCCCTCCACCATCAACCAGGAAATTTTCTTGCCTTTTCCCTTGGGTTGAGTCCCAGGTTTATGAATCACTTGTCTTTCTCTTTCTTGGTTTTACTCTCTTTTTTGTGGAGCACATCCCTCAGGAGTGTCCTGAGTCACTATTTTCCTTAGAATTTTGAGGCCATTCTCCAGTATTTCTAGCTTCTAACAATGTTTCTAAGACATACCATGCCATTCTAATATGAGATACTTTGTATCACACTGATTTTTGTTTCAGAATCTTCTCATTTTCTTTGATGTTCTGAAATATATCAGTGATGTGCTTGATCAGTTATTTTCATCCACTCAGGGAATTGATAGAAAATGCTGGAATCTCATATCCCTGTTCTAGAAAATTTACTCAAATCAATTTTTTTTAATGATTTCTTTTCCACCATTTACTTTTCTTTCTTTCTAGAACTCTTATTTTTTAGATGGTGGACTTCCTGGAATAGCCTTCTAATTTCTTTATATTTTCTCTTCTATTTCTCTTCTCTGTTTTAGAAACTGTTTTACTGTCTGGGAGATTTCTTCCATTTTTATCTTGCAATTCTTTTATTGAGGTTTTTAGTTTTTTATTGCATATTTTAAATTTCCAAGAGCTCTTTCTGATCTTTGAATAATTCTTCTTTTAAACATCAGGGTGTTCTTCACAGACTTTCTAGATATTGTACAATTACATATAATTCATCGATTATGCACATAATAGTAATTGGGGGAGAGATTTTTTTACATCCATAAATTTACTTCCTTAGAGCTGTTGTTATTGTTGATTTAACTTTGAAGCACTAGAAAGCTGATTGGGGCCTTTTTTTTATTGACCATGGAATTTTCTGTATGGTAACCCATTTTGGTCAGTTTGCAGGGGCACCTTCCTTCTGACTGTTACGTCTGCATAGAATAGTCAGCCATCTCTGCCTGGGAGGTATAAGCCTGGCTGCCAGTGCTAGAGACTGGAGTAGAGGAAGAAAACTAGAGATCTCATCTGAATTATGCAGAAATTGTCAGTACCTCTGTTTTACCATTTAAGAAAATAAATCACTCTTTTTTGCTAGTATGAGAGAAGAGTAGTGACCAAGTTAGGTGGAATGGGAGAAGGGAGCTTGGGTATGTAATTGTTTCTTAAAGAGTGTTTCAACCAATCATTTTGGTTTTAGCCCCTCCTTCATCTCTATTATCAGAGGTAACAAGTGCCACCAAAACCTCTGGTGAGCCTTTGGGAAAAATTTTTTGGCAAGTCAGGTGTCTTCTCAAGAGCTGCTTTAAAATCCAGCTTTCTTCAGTCTGCTGAAGCACTTGTCCATCTGTTTTCCAGCTAACAGGATTTTTTACATCCCCCTTCTCCGCTCCCAACTCTTAGTCCATGCGCCTTACACCTTTTTTAAAAATCCCATTTCTATCATTTTAGTGGTATTTCAGCAGGATGTGATATAAATTTGTGTGCTCAATGTCAAAGTTTTCACTGGATATATTGTATGTTTTCCAAGTTAATAAAATATTCTTATGTTATTTGGCAGAAACATTTATTCTCTTCTGTTTATTTTCTTAGACAGTGTTTATCGTAAAATAACTTTATCATTTTTGTCATTTGATTTATTAATTATAGTATTTTGGTACAGTAGATGATATCCTCAAGATTTTATTCTTTAAAATGTGAGGCTAGTTATCTCTAAATAACCCTCAATTTCTATCTTTTCTAAAATTTAATACTTGTATTCTATAATTCTTTGGTTTATTTTTAATAAACTTCTATATCTCATTGTCGACAGATGAATTAGTGGCTTCTGTTCTACTTTATTTCACAAATAATTTTGAAGACTAAGGTGGCTCTATTTTAGAAAGTAAGAAAATATGAAAGCTTTTTGATAGCTATTTCTTTGGAGGCCCATAGCCCTCAATTTTTTCTCTCTTACTTATGGATTGAGAACTATTTTTACCATTATTGATATTATTAAAATATAATATTTGAATTAATGTACCTTAATAACAAAAATAAAGATGATAATGGTAGCAATAGTAATTTCTAAAACTTATTGAGAACCCACTGAGTGTCAAGCACTGTTTTACATGCCTTATATGCATGGGTTATAACAACCCTATAAAATAGTCAAAATAATTATTTGTACTATTGTATAGAAAAAAAAGAGAGAAGTAGAGGAATGATGTTGCCTGTTCCTAGAATATGAGTCTGGTATTTTACTTCCAGTTCAACTGACTCCAAAGTCTCTGTTTTCTCATTACCATGCTATACTGACTCTGCAAAATATTGCAGTAGATGTCATGAATGGACAATGTATATCATAAATTCACTTTTATATAGTTTATAAAGTTTGGTTCTTAATTATTTAGGTTGCAGGCTAAGATTAAATCAGTGTCAGGAAGTTCAATAAAAAAAGACACTGAGGTCATAAGGATGAATGCATATGTAGTGGCTGCCAATACTCAATCTTGTAAGTCACAAGCCTGCTCCCAGGCATAACATGGAATGTGATATAAAACGTTTAACATCCTCTGTGATACTTCTTAAATCTAATCAAATTAATATGTGCTTACTAACAAGTCTCGGCATACTAAACTATGCATAGTAACTGTGAAAAAATAGGGATAAAAAGAAAACAAGATATGTGTCTTATTTTTCCCCAGGACTTACTGTTTATTTGGAAATATAAAACACATATGAAAATTCTAAGAACTTTACAATTTATTTTTAAAAGGTTTGAAATGAATGTAATACAGCATTACTTCAAAGGAGAGATCTTCATAGGGGATAGCTTGAGATAGCTGGTGGTTTGCAGCAGGTGATTCTCTAATACAGTGTGAAAGGCTATGCAGCTCTCAGATTGGCAAAAAGGAATTTCTAATTTGCTCATCAAGTGAAGATATCAGTAGATAAGAAATTAGAATCATGCAGATAATTGCAATAACAGAGAGGAAGGGAAACAGCAAGAAGCTTCTCTAGCTAGAGCAGAGGAGTATGAGCAATGTAGTCACAGAAGAGAGGCAAGGTGATGTAGCGAAATGTCTTACCCAGGGATACATTCCATAAATACTGGTCAGAATGGAAGGCACCCAACAAACAGGATGAGGAAACTGAGCAGTGTCCTTTGGCTAAAGGGAGCTATCTTATATTCTTTCTAGGAGGAATGACAATGAATCCTGAGGGTTAGGAAGACTAATCAGTAAGTAAGGTGTTAGGAAGAAGGAAAAGGAGCCTGGCAGCTGATGAGATATCAACCAGAAGAAAGTCACAGAAATCTGTGTTTGAGGTTCGGATGACCTGGATATAAGAACGGAAGAATAGAGAATAGGGGGATCTACTTATTTAAAAAGAAAGATTTGGAAGTTCCCCTGGATGTATTTTTAAGTTAAAAAGACACCTCAGGTTTCAAAATAAAGTCACCGGAAATATTTATGAAGTCCCCAGCACTCAGAATATGTAACACTTAGTCATCACCATTGAACAGGTTCCATGCCTCTCTGAATTGATTTATTATTTTGATTTTGACTGAGCTTGTGATTCTGGGACTTTTGCCAAAAGATCTAGAGACCAATTTAATAAGTATATGTTAGTTAGTCTATGTAATTTAAGAAAATAAATTGAAAAACTAAACAATATACAATGAAATAAACCTTATTAATCACAGTAATACATTTAATTTAGGTAATTTGAGTCTACGCTGGAAAAGAGAGTAAACTGTCGTAACGAATTATATACAAAACCCAAAAACTATTCATTTAATTAATCAGGTAAGTAAATAACATATTCATTCAAAAAATATTATGTTGAGTACCTACTACATGTAAGGAACTGTACCAGCTGCTAGAGGTGGAAATGATAGTAGGACAATATCATTCCTTAAGAGACTTACAGGCTGGGTGCAGTGGCTCACGCCTGTAATCCCAGCACTTTGGGAGGCTGAGGCGGGCGGATCACAAGGTCAGGAGATTGAGACCATCCTTGCTAACACGGTGAAACCCCGTCTCTACTAAAAATACAAAAAATTAGCCAGGCGTGGTGGCAGGCGCCTGTAGTCCCAGCTACTCGGGAGGCTGAGGCAGGAGAATGGCAGGAACCTGGGAGGTGGAGCTTGCAGTGAGCCGAGATCCCGCCACTGCTCTCTAGCCTGGGCGACAGAGCGGAACTCTGTCTCAAAAAAAAAAAAAAAAAAAAAAAAAAAAAAAAAAAAAGAGACTTACAGATTGGTCAAAAGGATCACTCAGGACATCAGGGAATCACAGAGGTGCTGCCTCAGACACCATGGAGAGGAATAGGACTCTGATGTGGGAGAGCAAGAACAGGTATTGTATCACTTAAGTGAGGTTAACTTTGCTTTTTTCCTCTTAGAGTCATTTTTGACTTCTTTTTTTCTCTCATATCCAATATTCAATCCATCAGCAAATTTTGCTAGGTCTACCTGCACAATCTATCCCGAATCACACGCTCCCTTGCTGCGAACCTAGGTCAAATTCCAATTACCTCACATGTGAAATCACTGCAATAGTCTCCTCACTGGTTGCCTTGCTTCCATCCTTGCCTTCCAGAATCTCTTCTCCATCCAACATCCAGAATGAATTTTTGTAATTAAGTCAGATCACATCACTTCTCTTGTCAAAGCCTACACTCCTTTAGAGAGCAATGCAAAGTACTCATAATGACCTATAGAGCCCTGCATAGACTGCATTTGTCTCCAATCTCCTTTCCATTCCCCTTGTAACTTTGCTTGTGCCATATGGCCACCTTGCTGTTTCCCAGCAAATCAAGCATATGCTCACCCCAGGGATCCATTGTTACTCTTCCCTCTGTGAGGAATGCTTTTCCCTAGATTTCTTGTCTTACTTTTTTCTGTCTGCATAGACATCACTTAATGTGAATGTCTTTTTCCAACTAACCTACAGAAAATAGCATCACCCATCAATTTCGAGTCACCTGTTTTATTCTTCTTTATCTTATATTTGTTTATTGTTTGTCTCTCCATACTGGAATAAAAATGCCACAAGAAGAGAAACTCAGCATATTTTTGTCCTCTGCAGTATTCTTAGAAGAATGTTTGGTCCATATGGAATGTCCACAGTCACTATTTGTTGAATTAGTGAGTCAAATGTAACTGACATGAGCTTAAGGCTTTTGTTATTTTCATCCTACCTAAATGGGCATTTAAGCAAAAGATAACTATTAAAGAGATAGCCCCCCCATTACACCCAGTAAATTGTTTGCCTGTAATCCCTCTAAATGTTTAAGAAGCCCATGTATTACTACTTTGTGTTTTAACATTTAAATAGGATTTCACAGAGATTTTGAGCAAAAAAGGTTATGTTAGTCATGCTAGGAAAATTCTAAAACAGAAAAGTGTGCTTTAAAAAATCACTTAAAAATTTTTACCCTGTTATCCATGACTTACTTTATATAGATATCATATTGTATGTAAAACTGTGTGCTCTGATTTTCAATACTTAATATTTAGGCTTTCGTTGTGTTATGTAGTTAACGTTCTATGGGACTGTGATGTATGTATGTCTGTGTTTGTATATAAATTGTTTTTCAGACATGGCGTGTCCAAATATGCTCTGACGAGCACATGTGATATCTCTCTCACTTCACTCTTGCTAAGAGTTGAGGAGCAGGTAGTAGAGAGGTTGAGAGCTCAAAAACAAAAGAGAAACTGTCCAAGTTCTGGTACCAGCTTCACCACTTGTTACCTTTGTGATCCTGGAAAATATTTAATCTCTTAGTGCCTCACTTTTTCTATCTGTAAAAAGGTAATAATAATGATACCAGTCTCATAGGTTTATTAAGAGAATTAAATTGAATATATGCAAAGTGCTTAGAATAGTTCCTAGCAAATATTGAGCACATATAAATGTTAGATGTTAACATGAAGAAAGTAAAATTCAATATCTTGTAAGAACATTTCAAATATTTACCAATATGAGTAAAAAAGTGATAATATTCAATTATTTATTTTATTATAAATGAAATTAAATAATTTTCCATTTCTTGATCATTTCAATTTCTTCTTTTGTAATTAGTCTGCTTAAGTCCTTTGCTTATTTCTTATTCATTTATGAATACTATTAATATATTAAGATTAACTGTTTACATATTTATTAAAACTATTTCTCTAACTTATTACATAATTAATACTACTTATTATTTTGTATTGTACAGAAATTCTTAAATTTACATTGTAAAACCTATCAATTTAGGACTAAAATTTTTCCATTACTTTCTGCTTCTAAATATTTTCCAGCATGTTATGATTTAAAATTTTAGAGTTAGCTCTTTATCTGGAAATTATTTGAGTATGTGGTATGATGTGAGATTTTACTTTGAATTTTCCTGGAACCAATATTCTCAATATCATGTATTTAAAAATTCATCCATTTCCACTTTTACATTACTTCTCTTATATTAAGTTTTAATTTATGATATGTATATATATGCACACACATATTTATGTATGAATACACACATCATATAAAATTAAATTCTATATCTTAAAGATTATTTTTAATTTTATAGCAATATTGTGGAATAAACAAATAAATAGATACATTTGAGCTGAATTGACAGTAAGGATAAAAATTGCATTACTGTGGTTTTCTGTTGTCTGTCCAATTGAGACTAAATATTCCCTTCACAGGGAACTCTTAATATAAAATTCCAATTAAAGCTGGAAAGCAATGTGTGAGTACCTCCTGCAGTGTTTGCTGCATGTGGATGATCTGTGCAATGCTAACAGCTTCATACACTCAGTGTGCTTGTGCATGAGCCTGTTACTAACAAGCCCACTCAAATAATCTGGCTAATGTGTAGCACAATAAATAGAACAATTAGAAATATCACAGTGTCAAACAAAGCATTTGTTTCTAGCCACTTAAGCTAGTTTACCTGCTGTTGTTTTAAAAGCCCATACTCTCATTAACACTGAAAAGGATAGAGGTTTTCAATAGTTATGTAGACCTGCTGCTCACCAGTGGCCCTCATATTTTAATGAACTTGACATTTTTAAACTAAATAAATTTCAAGTACCATGTCTTTAACTCATCTCAAAATGAGCATGGAAATCTTGTTTCAAGTCTTTCAGTTATTAAATATAGATGGATAAATAAACACATACATACATACATACTTACATGGAATGGTGGTCCATTGCTGCCTAGAGCTTTGGGACTGGATGACTGCAGGTATGTTAGAGGTTCCTCCACTAGGGAGAAGCACAACCTCCTTCTGGACAGCCAAGAAGAGAAACGCCAGGGCTGAGGCAAAGATTGCTTTTGGAACATCATAGAGCCCTTGGTGAATTTAGCAAAAAAAGTTAAGGGCCCTTTCATCCACATCACATCGCCCTTTTTGATTCACTTTTGGCTAATTCTTCCTACTCAAAGCTGCTGTAGTAAGATAAGCCAACCTCCTACATGAGTTTTCACGGCATGTAAGAGCCAATCCTAAACCACAAAATTCTGGCTTTCATTTTGTAGTGAAAGGTTCTGTGTTTTCAGTAGATTTATGCATGTCAGTAGATATTATTGGTTCTTTTTCAGGTTTTACTTGTTTTTCAGGTTTTACTTGTTTTTCTGCAAATATCTGTGGTAGATTTTCCAAAGAACTTTGTAGCAATAATGGACTTATTTTGTTAAAAACTTGCTTACTCTTTGTTCGTTTGTGTAATTCAACATAATATTACCTGATAACAAGAATAGACTCTAATTAGGGAAGAAACTGGAGAACCTGTTTTAGAAGGTAAATACATACTGCGTAAACTCATGCTAATATACAACTTGTAAATCAGGAATACACAGTTTCAAAGGTCAACTTGAAGAGAGATAGTTACTCAAAGCTCCTTACAAAATGCAGAAACTTTACGTATATATTATATTCAAACAGTCCAGAGTAAGCTATAACAGAAAACTAGACCATAGGTAGATGTATCCATTAATGGCTAGAAGAAAAAGATTTAAGTCATTCAAAGTTGTAATTTTCGAGACTCCCGAACCTATGCTCTTTCAGGGTACAGTCCACCAGATACAGGATGAGAATATAGTGAAGGCTTTGAGTGAACTTCAAATAAGGCCTTTATGAGAGAGACATTTCCAAAGGCTAAATTAATCAAGTATTTTATTTTCCCAGGAGAAATGTAGTTAAATTATTAATCATGTCAAACCTATAAAGAATTGGTCATCAAGGCTCCTTCTACTAAATTATCTCAGACCAAGGAATATTCCACATTTAAATACCTCTCATCAGAGTACCTTGTCATCTCTTACATTCTCCAACGTATCATCAAAGCTTTCTAGGATTCTAAATATGGTTGCTTATTTCAATGAGAGGCTAATCACCAGAGTAACTTTTTTTTTTTAATGTGGGAAGCATCATCCACAGAGTTCTTTACTACATCAGGAATCCAGGTGGAAAGAGGGAAATAGGAAATCAGACCTTCCAATAGAACCTTCTCAGTTAACCTCATCAGTGCAGCTGTGGTTAAGAAAAGGGACAGGATACACAGTGCCACACACTATGAACAGCGCACAGGGTTAGCTCTCATAAGGTTGACTAGCAATGCAAGACCAGAACACAAGGATTCTCTGGTCCTTCATTGCTACTCCATGAATAGAAGTGCTTTTGCTGCAGAGCTTGACCTGCTGGTGGAGGGAATGCAGTCCTATGCCATTTGACAAGTTCATGAGCTAGCTGGGTGACACCCAGCTTTCTACATTACAAAGGATCTCCTGCTCCAGGAAATAGCTTCAGTGTTACTCAGTATCTTGTGATGTCAACACTGCTGACTTCAGCCAGAAGCTTTGCTTTGCTTCCTAGTCCTCACTATCAATCCACCAAAATTAAAATGTGGGAAGGTAGACATATGAGCTCTGAGACTAAAGATGAGTATTTCCTCAGGAACACAAACCCATATTTTTCCTACCCCAGATTTAATAAATAATTTAAAAAAAAAAACACCATACTCTGACTTCTCTGTTTTAACACTTTTGAGCTGTTTCACTGACCCCTGAAAAAAGATACTTCTTGATGTTGGTCTCTCTGGCAGAAAGACATTTTTCAGAATGCCAAGAGGTTATGAACTTTTGTGTCTGTCCAACATTCTATAATAAATAATGACCACTGTTTTCTTCCCCTGATACTTCATACTACAGCAGTCTTTCACAGAAAGTTTTTCTTCATGGCACACTGAGAAAATCATGATACCTATACTACATAATGGACAAATTGGGATGAGTTTTGAAATAGTCAGAGGGAAATGGTGTAAAAATTAATTACATGTTCTAACAAAAACAAATTATTAATAATGGGCACATTTACTTGTGTATTTATATAACTTATAAATAACTTTTATAATTTATATAACTTATAAATAACTTTTATAATTTATATAACTTATAAATAACTTTTATAATTTATATAACTTATAAATAACTTATAAAACTTCCAAAGGAAATCTTAAAACAAATTTAAAGAGAAACTTGAGTTTGTTTTCATGATGATAATTTTTTTAACATTTGTAATGTCTACACACAATTTCTGATCAAGATATATTAATAACACATCTTCAAATTCTTGGTAGTTACCATGATAAGAAACTTTTTTCCACACATGATAGAAAACTGCAGAATATTTTTTGTTTTATTTAGCTGTGAATGAACACTTCTTTTTCTGCACTAACATGATTTTGGTTAGTTCCATCTCTTATCATTGTACTTTAGAGTTTGATTATTCTTCAATATTAATAGTTCTTCCTTGTCTTTCACTGATATATAAAATATTATAAAACTGTGTGATAATTCAAATGTATTTATATTCCTTTAGAAGTTTTTCAGATTAAATATTTTAAGAGACTTCCAGTTTCAGCTCTGACATGTAAAGAGATTAGAAGTCATCACCCCCAACCTTAACAAGAAAAAGCTGGACAAACTGAAAATCAGTGACTGTTTTTGGACTCATCACAGAACTATACATCACTAGACAAACCAAAACCCCAAAATATGAAAAGACATGTGTACCTAAAGACACACAGGACAGACCTGCTTACCTGGAACCAAAGCCCCTGGAGCCATATACTGATAATTTTGAGGAATTGCTGGAGGCGACTAATCCTAGTTTGTGGAATATGGCAACAAAATGAAATAAAAGTTATACAGTTTGGAAATGAAGTAACATAAACCATCTTTATTTAAAGATGGCATGATTTTCAATGTAACAATTCCCAAAGAATCTACAACAGCCTCCTTTAAGTAATAAGCAAGAAATATCAAATTCACATGATACAAGGTCAACATACAGAAGTCAATTGCTTTACTTTACACTGGCATTGGACAATTGGCATTTGAAATTTAAAAAGCAATATCATTTACAATAGCATCCCAAAATTGAAGTACTTTGGTATAAAGACCATATATTCTGTGCTTATGGGTTAGAAGACTCAAAATTATTAAGATATCAGTTTTTCCTAACTTGACCTCAATCCTAATCAAAATTCTGGTAGGCTATTCTGTAGATATTGACAAACTTATTTAAAATTTATACAAAAAAGCAAAGGATCTAAAATGGCCAACACAATACTGAAGAACAAAGTTGAAAAACTTATACTACCTAATTTCAATACTTATTACAAAGCTACAGTAATCAAGACACATAAATCAGTGGGACAGAAGAGAAGGTCTAGAAATAAAACCATATACATATATAAACTGATTTTGACAAAGGTGCAAAGGCAATTCAATGGAAAAAGGATAGTCTTTTCAAGAAATGGTGTTGGAACTGTAGATTAGATAAACTACATCTATTACGCACCTGACGAGCTCGGATTTTAAGATGCTAGCCTGCCGATGCTCCCAGCTGATTAAAGCCACTCCCTTCACTATCTCGGTGTCTGAGAGGTTTTGTCTGTGGCTCATCCTGCTACAGAACCTTTAGATATTCATATGTGAAAAAGAAAAAAAACCTTAGACACAGACTTTACACAAAAATATTTGCCAAATATATCTGATAAAGGACTTTTATACAAAATATATAAATATTTAAAACTCAACAATAAGAAAAAACAAAAAGTAGGCAAGAGTTTAAATAGACACCTCATCAAAGAAAATCTACAAATGGCAAATATGCAAATGGGATGATATTCAACCTTATTTGTTATTAGAGAAATGTAAAATAAAACAATGAGATATCACTACACAAGTAGCAGAATAACTACGGTCTAAAAATTGACAATAGCAATTGCTGGAGGAGATATGGAACAAGAACTCTCAGCCATTGTTGGTGGAAATGCAAATGATATGACCACATTGGAAGACCATTTAGCAGTTTCTTACAATACCAAACATATTCACCATACAATCCAGCAGTCGTGTTCCTCATTATTTACCCAACTGATCTGAAAACACTTCCACTTAAAAATCTGCACTCCAGGTTAATAGCAGCTTTCATTCACAGTTGCCAAAAGTGATGAGCGGCCAAAATGTTATTTAATAGGCGAATGGATAAACAAAGTACAGTATATCTATATAATGGAATATTATTTAATAACTAAAAATAATCTATCAAGCCATGTGAATAACAAAGCTGAATCTTAAATTTATACTTCTAGTGAAAGAAGTCAGTCTGAAAAGGCTAGATACGCTATAATTATATTTACATGATATCCTTAAAAAAAGGCAAAACAATAGAGATAGTAAACAGATCAGTGGTTGCAAGAGTTTGGAGGGAGGGGGAGGGCTAAATCAAGGAATTTTATAGGGTGGTGAAACTCTTCTGTGTGGTGCTGTAATAGTAGATACGTGACATTATATATTTGTCAAAATCATAGAAATTCACAGCACACAGAGTGGACCCTAATAGATGCAAATTTTAAAAATCTTTTAGGGGGCTAGACATGATGGCTTGTGCCTGTACTTCCAGCACTTTGAGAGACCAAGGCAGGAAGATCACTAGATGCCAGGGTTTGACACTAGCCTGGGTATATAGTAAGACCTCTTCTTTTAAAAAAAAATTAAATTAAATTAAATTATCTGGATGTGGTGACATGTGCCTGTAGTTCTAGCTACTTGGGAGGCTGAGGTGCAGAATTGCTGGAGCCCAGGAGTTCAAGGCTACATAACATGGGCTATGATTGTGCCACTGCACTCTACCCTGGGCAACAGAGCAAACCTTGTCTCTAAAAAAATTAAAATAAAAAATAAAAGTAAATCATTTAGGAGGTTGAAGGATCCTAAGCCAAAATACAGATGGGGACAAAATAACATAACTGTATCACAAGTATATGAAGCGATCTCAGAAGAAGCTTGGTGAAAATGAGGCTCACCTAAGTAATTTTGGAAGTGAGCAGAAATTGTAAGACTAAAATCAAAAGGGACAGTACATAAACACTATACTACAGATGATAACATTGTTTCCCTCCACAGGGGTACAGTTTAACATTCTGCAACCATTATAAATCTGTACTGCACTTGAACAGTAAAGTCCATGGCTGGCAGATGGTGGGAAGCCAGGTTTCTTAATGTTGGAATGGAAGCAAGGGGAGAAGACTAAAATTATTCACGGAGTAATATAACAGAGCTAGAGACCTCAGGATAAACTCGTATTTTGCTTAATATAGGTACAGATAGAAATAGTTATATATAAATACATGGATTAGTATACGCATATATATTTATTTGCTCTGTCAATTGACAGGTCTTAGAAACTAGGACATTCCAGTAGCAGTGAGCACACCTAGTGCTCAGACCTAGGTTTCTAATGCCATTCTCCAATAAAATGAACCAGGGCTTCTTAGAACAAAGCTGATTCTAGAATTGGGGCAGGAAGTATAAAACATAAGCCTAGAAGATACTGTAATGCCAGAAAGTAAGAAGGTGCATGAATGAGGGGAGGAAAGAGGAAGGGATGTAAGGAGAGAGAGAAGAAAGGAGAAAATACAATAATGAGATTATGTTAATGACACATAAGAGCCAAGTAAAAGAGCTCTCCATAGCCAAGATGGACCCATTTGAGCTACCCATAAAGTATTATGGATACTTACTCAAAGTGTAAAGTAAGTAACCTGAATCCATACTAATAAGAAAATGATTGAATAATTAAAGAGAATAGTCCATGTAGATAAATTTAAATAATTTATGTATATACTCTGCCTTTATGGAGGTCAACCATAACCCCCTAATTCTTAAGCATGGACTGCATATAGTGACTTCCTTACATAATACTTTTAATTTACAAACTCTTGATAAATTTCTTTTTACAATCAGCATACTTCAGTATAAAACAGTGGAATGTTGTGTTCTGCTCCCATTGCTTTAAATAAAACTAAAAATAGAATTGGAGTGTAGAGGCTTGAATTTTAATAGATGTATCATTTTGACAACATTTTTATTATGGATTCCAGAACTCCAGGCAAACCTTTACATATAAAAGAGTGTCTGTGAATAGAAAAATGTATTACTTCAATTTTAGAGTTTTCAAATTGAACTTATTGTGTAAAGCTTTTACACCTTCCTATCATTGCTGCTGAACCATCAATATACAAACTTATGCATTCTCAATACTATCTTTTTTTTTTTTTTACAAAGGGATCATCTACCATGTAAACATGTCATCTCCAAAAGTTGTTTTATTGTTTCTTTCAAATCACAGAATCGTTTCTCATTATATCTCTTCAGCAATTCTATAGTTTCTTTTTTTTAATTTTATGTTTTAAAAAGAGATGAGGTCTCACTATGTTGCTCAGGCTGGTCTCAAACTCCTGGGCTCAAGCAATCTGCCCACCTCAGCCTTCCAAATAGTTCGGATTATGGGCATGAGCCACTGTGCCTGGCCTCTTCAGCAATTCTGCATGAGAGATAAGAAGAGTTAATTGTTTCTATATCTGATCCCCTGCAAGTGGTCTTTCTGAGAAGGTGTGGACTGCTTACAGGGCAGAACCAACTGAAAACTCAAATTGCTCCACGGAAAAGAGATACAGCCAAATACTAAAGATGTTTAATTCTATGAGGATGCTGTGCTAGTGGTGGATCAGGGTTGGAAGGCAGTGGCTTTTTTTGTCACACGTCTATAAGGGCAAGGCGTGGGCCCCAATTCTTCATCACAGAAGAGGGACTTGTGCTCTCCTAGCCAAAAAATAAACAGATCAGTACTGATGGCCTAAGTTATGTTACATTATACAGCTATGACTACATTATTTGATCTACAATTCAATTCAAGTCATGCCATGGTGCTTTTTCAGCCAGAGACCCTCTCTCAGAAAATGACATCTAGCTTTGTTAGATTCCTGTGGGCTTTTCCAGAGTGCCACAAATATACTAGTCCTCTTATTTCAGTAAGTTTCTCATTATAAACATTTGCTGTGTTTATACAACAGGTTTGCTGTATGTGCTGCTAGGTTTTTGCTTTTTTTTTTGTTGGGGGGGAGGTTGTTTCTTTTGTGTAGAGACAGGGTCTCACTCTATCACCCAGGCTGGAGTGAAGGAGTACAGTGACCCAATCATAGCTCATGGTAACCTTAAATTCCTGAGCTCAAGTAATCCTTCCACCACTTCTGCCTCCAGAATAGCTAGGAATACAGGCACAGGCCTCTATGCCTGGCTATTTTTGTTTGTTTGTTTTTAGAGGCAGGGTCTCACTATGTCGCCCAGTCTGAACTCCTGGCCTCAGGCAATCCTCCCAACTAGGCCTCCCAAGATGCTGGGGTTACAGACATGGGCCACTGTGCCTGGCCTACATTATTTGCTCATTTTTTCTCATTTATTTTGCAATTTGGTACAAAAAGCTAGACATATGGTCTCAAAACCCATCCTAAGCTTCAGGAAAAGAGCTAAGGCACTAGAGCAATAGCATATCCAGGGGAGTTTAAAAAGTCATCTTCTGGGGGCAGTGTAGTCAATCAATGTTAAGCATTTAAATTACAGTTTACTAATTTGATATATACCTCTTGTGATGACTCTACCATGAACCAAAGACCAAATATAACATTCTTTTATTATTATTAATAGTCTTGAAGGGAGTTTACTGGGAGTGAACAGACTCCATTGGAGGGATTAGAGTTATACTTTAATAATCCTAATGGGAGACATTATGCCTTTTTTATCCCACCCTTAACCACCTTCTGAAACTGTGCAGGCTAGTGCAAGGCAGGATAGTGTTGCTAGGGTGCTACACGCCTCATGTAAATAGAATTGTATTTGGAAAAGAGAAAAGACCTAAATCTCATGGACTGTGTGACAACCGTACCCCCTAAAAATAATTTAACCCCTAAGGGTACAAAGTAATTTGACAAAGTTCCTAGATAGAGTTTTAAAGAAATCTCCCTCTTATAAGGCTGTATAGTTATGACTTTTAGATCAAAAAGCCAAATATTATGACATTGATGATGTTTCCATCTTTATTTTCTGTTAAAAGGTTTTTTTTTTAATACTGGGAGGTGGGAATGGGGATTTCTTGCAATTGACAAAAGACTGCTTAATACATATGATACAGAGCATATAAGGAGCCAGCTCAGAACTTTCCAGAAAAGGAGATAAAAAGGATGTCAAAACTATAGCTTCTCCTTGTGAGATTTAGATCATAAATTGATTTATCCAACAGGGTAGCCCTTGAGGGGTCTCTAGCCAAGAGCCTCTGATACACAGAAAAGTTACCTATCCAACTGTAGATACAGCCCAACACAGTTTAAGCATCGGAGATATTATTCTGTCAAACATTGGAATATCTAGAGATCATCCAAACAAACAAGAAGACATTATTTTCGACCAGGAAATATAGTGTTTTAGTTCTGGTGTGAGATCTATTGTTATGTTTCTCATTAGCCACAGAATGCAATGCACAGGAAAAACTTCCTCCAAAATCCTAGGAGTCTGTACTCTTGTTCTCTCTTTGTCAAGAAGCAGAGGTTCTATGTAGCATCTCTTTCTATACTTTAAGTACGATTCGATCTACTGGGTCAAGAAAGTTTGTCCTGAAATCTTGACCTATTGCAGATCCTTCTCTTCTGATTCCCCTTTAAAATCTGCAGTTTGGTCAGTAAATAGGTTGAAATAGCATTTCTAAATTTGAAATATGTTGACTTTAGTACTCAAAGAAGTCCACTAATTATTGCAATTGTTTTATGTGGAGCAGTACAAAGTACAGCAACCTCTTTCTCACATAAGAGAAGGTACCCTGACATTTCTGAGACCACTCAATCCTTGGAAATATCATCATGCAGCTGTCTCTAAAATTGTATCCTCCATCCTCTGGCTTAGATGTTCCTTGATGAGACATTTAGATACTTGATCATTACTGGTCACCAAATCTAATTAGCATAATGTTATACATGCAATGGACCATAGTGAGGTTCTATAGGATGGTCACAGTCCCCATAGAATGTTATGTTTATATTATGGCCAAGATCAAGAGCTTTCTTATCCTGGAGTCGAGAAAATGAAAGCATAAATTTAATCCTATTAGTCAAAGGCAAAGTACCTCTGATTGTCTCTGCTGACTGGTATATAACAGGAAATTTTTGCTAGGACAATAGTTCCATAAAGCTGTTAGAAGCTGAGTTGATTTGATACAAGAAAGATACCGTAACAGACTACAGTTATAATTGTATTCACCACTGGATTAATAATACACAGGCATTCTACAGGGCCTATCTGGCTTTTTTACCAATCAAACAGGAGAGCTAAACATGCATGTTTTAGAAATCACCATCTCTGTATCTTATAAGTATTAAGCCCATTATTCCCTAACATCAAGGAACTCAATCCACAGTAGCATCTTCCACTATCATCATATCTAAAAGAGGCTGCTTTTACTAGCAAGGAAAGTTCACAGAGATTTGGTGTTCAAAATGATCAGCTTCATATTTTCATCCCTCTTTTTGCCCAGTGTTGGCTTTTTATTAGTACAATAGACTTGGAGAGTTTGTATATTTAACAGTTTTTGCAACTTATCAACCCAGACAATCAGGCTTTGCACTCGATTCTTAACCATATCTTCCCTATTGCTACATGAGTCTAGGGAATTCCTTTAAGGCCTCTCAAAAGACTTTATGATTATCTATAATGTCTTGAGTTGGGAGTTGAAAGATTTTACGTTATGTTTTTCTTTGTGTATGCTGTCTAGGAAAATCAGAAGTAGCATTCCCAGGACAGAAGAAACAGCCTGCAATCTATCAGCACACCGTCATCTCACACTCCAACCAATGAAAATGAGTGTCATGGCATGCCAAAGACTACCTGTCTCCCATCTCCTATGGTGAAGAGGAATCCAGTTGCCTTCATTAAATGAAGGAATCCCATTTTCTGCACCTGTTTCCTCAGCCTACCCTTAAAATCAATGGGGCAAGACAAGGCGGAGGTGTGAAGATTATTACAGAGCCTGTCGAGAGCTGGAGATTGAAGGGAAGCTGCGCAATACATGCTGTGTAGCCACTTCCAGAACTGCACAAGGCAGGAAAGAGCAGAGGGGATGAATACCATAGTCTCTCTCTCTCTCTCTCTTTCTATTGTCCTTTCTGTGCCTATGACTGGTTGAAATCAAGCAGAAGGCAAAGAGTTTCTAGGGATCAGTTTCCCAGGACACAGAGAAGATCAGACAATGGATGGAGGGGACAAAGTGAAAAAAAAAAGTACAATAACTAAAGTCACAATTTCTCACATATGTGAAAATTGTTTGTCTTACCAGTTTCTATGGTAATTCTCAACTATATTTACAAATGAAAAAAGGTAAAGAAAATTTTCAAATGAGCCTTTCAAAACAACTATTAATATAAGCTTTGATAACATGACAAGAGGAAATATTATTGAAGAAAAAAGATTTCTGTAACAGCTTGATGAGTATAGGGATATCAGTAAGTATCAATAGGTAATACTAAACAAAAGATGGTTTAAAAACAAAAGTATATACACCTGACCTGAAACATGTAACTGATAAAGCTTACAGAGATGGGGACAATAGGAGTTACGTAGTGCTGGTATTGCCCACTGCCTTCTGGGATAGTGAAGAGAGACCCAGCAGAGCCCTCAGAGACAGGGAACAAGTCCCTAAGTTGCGTAGCTTATAAACTGTAAAATGGGGAACCACTAATCTCACCTGCCACATGATCAGCAGCGCAATCACAAATATATTGTGTATTACAAACTGAGCCTCCAACTCTGCTCTGCCATCTCAACATTCATAGTTAGGGACACAAAGCCACTTCCCTTATGTGATCAATATCTGGGATCTAGGTTTTACAGTTGTAGCACTACGACATAGCAAATCACTGCCTTCCAGCCCCTATCTACCACCACCATCTCAGCATTTTCACAGGTTGGTTTCCATCTGAGTAAATAAATAGATTCTTCTCCCATTGGTCCTGTATGGTATATTTGATGATTGGGTGCAAAAATTATACCATTGTCCACTGGGATTTTCAACATAAGGAGATGTAATACATGCCAACTCTAACATATAGGGAGGAGGGTAAAGAGACTTACATGGTGGTAAGGTTTTAAATCCTGGTTGCAGTGTTCATTACACAAATCTATGTATGTGTTAAAATTCAGAGAACTTCACACCAAAAAGGTAAATTTTACAGTATAATTTTAAAAAATAAAATTTACAAAAAATATTTCTAAAAATGAAACCAGAGAGTCCATGATCTGGCCTAGTGTAGTCTCCTGGACAAGTAAATTTCCAGTATACCTTTCCCCTACTGATGCCTTTTTTAGAAATTGGCTCACATTTCTGCTTTACATCACTGATGCTTCTGTATTTGTAAGTGAATGAATTAGTCTATCCTGGAGCCACTTGGAGTCTGGGACTTCTTATTTATTAGATAAATTCTGCTAATTGCCAAAGAAAGAAGAACCAATTGGAAATTCTGAAATGCATGTGCGTGTGCGTGTCTGTATGTGTGTGTGAGTTCATAAAATAACAACACAAAAGATGAAATATAATCTAAAGTGGATATAATCATAAAGAGAATTAATCAGAAAATAGTGCTTGCCTTAATTAGAGTTCTCCCTGAAGACCCTGAACCAAAAGTTCGGTCTATCGGAATCCTTAAGGGAAGAAAGCTAAACAAATGAAACATTTTATATGAAATTCTAGACTCAGCCTGATCCAGGCTCTGAAAATAACTCAGGAGGCAGTTAGCAGTAAAGCATTCAGAAAGTGGGGGATGGAGGCCATAGCTGGTTAAAAGGATTTGGTTTAATGGTCATCAACCATTAAATCAACCATTAAATACTTAAATAATAATACTGTTAAATTCAGCCTGAATTCAGGTCAGGGAGATAAAATGATGAAAAATATGAACCAGTTTATTAAAAACTTGAAGGATAGAAAGATCATCTAATAAAAGTTTTAGAAGAAAAGAATAAGAAAAATGATGGTGCAGCAACATTTGAAAAGTTGATGACTGAAAATTTCCAGGACTAACGAAGTAATGATTCCTCAGACTGAAAGTGAAAACAGAGTGTTAAAAAGGATGAACAATAATAAATACACACAGAAATATGCCATGCTAAAATTTCAGTATATCAGGGATAAAAAAAAATACCTTTAAAATAACCTAAAAGATGGGCCAGATTAACTATAAAGGAGCAATCACTAGAATGACATGAGCTAAAATAGATGTGAGAACACAATGAGTTATTTTCAAAGTGCTGAGAGAAAAGGATGTCAACCTAGAGTTCCATATCTAACTAAACTACTTTAAAGAGAAATGGTGAAACGAAGACATTTCTAGATGCTCAAATGTTAAGAAGAGTTCAGGAATTATAGAGGTTTGCTCAAAGAGATATAAAAGGAAAAACTTAAGTCAGAAGAAAAGAGGTCCTAGAAGCCAAGAATGAAATGCAAAAAAAGATAAATATATTATTTGTTGGAATATTTAATTAACATCTGATTATGTTATGCTAAGGAAAGTTAGAACTAATATTTTAAAACAAATGATAAGGAAAATGGAAAGGCTTGGTGAAAAGTTTAAGTATACCTAAATTCTCATCTTTCTGGGGAGATGAATAATGATATTGTAGACAAATCTTATGTAGACTTGGAGAGAAAATATTATTTTTATTTTTTTAATTTCATTTTTAATTTTTGTGGGTACATCATAGGCATATATATTTATGGATTACTTGAGATATTTTGATATAGGCATGGAATGCATAATAATCACACCAGGGTAAATGGGGTATTCATCACCTCGAGAATTTATATTTTGTGTTACAAACAATTCAATTATACCCTTTTGCTGTTGTTATAACGTACAATTCAATTATTTTTTACTATAGTCACCCTGTTGTGCTAGAAATATTTGTTCTTATTCATTCTTTCTATTTGTTAGTAACCATTTACCATCTCCACTTGCCACCCATTAACCATCCCCACTTGCCTCTGACTCCCCCACTACTGGTAACCATTGTTCTACTCTCTAACGTCATGAGTTCAATCGTTTTAATTTTTAGCTCGCACAAATAAGTGAGAATATGCAAATTTTGTCTTTCTTTGCCTGGCTTATTTCAATTAACACAGTGATCTCCACTTCCATTCATGTTGTTGAAATGACTGGATCTCATTCCTTTTTAATCGCTGAATATTAGTACTCCATTATGAATATGTACAATTTTATTGATCTATTCATCTGTTGATGAACACTCAGGTTTCTTCCAAAGCATGGCTATGGTGGATAATGCTGCAATAAACATGAAAGTGCATATGTCTCTTTGATATACTGATTTCCTTTATTTTGGGCACATATCTAGGAGTGGGATTGCTGGATCCTATAGTAGCTCTATTATTAGTTTTTTGGAGGATCCTCCAAACTGTTCTCCATAATAGTTGTATTAATTTACATTCTCATCAACAGTGTACAAGAGTTCCCTTTCCTCGACATCCTCACCAGCATTTGTTGTTGCCTGACATTTGGATGAAAGCCATTTTAACTAGGGTGAGATGACATCTCATTGTAGTTTTGATTTGTATTTCTCTGATGATCAGTGATGTTGAGCACCTTTTCTTACGACTGTTTGCCATTTGTATGTCATCTTTTGAGAAATATCTATCCAGAAATTTTGCTCATGCTTTAACTGGATGATTAGATTTTCTCCTATAGAGTTTTTTGAGCTACTTATATATTCTGGTTATTAATTCCTTGTAAGACAAGTCATTTGCAAATATTTTCTCCCATTCTTTGGGTTGTCTCTTCACTTTGTTGTTTGTTTCCTTGCTATACAGAAACTCTTTAATTTGATGTGGCCCCAACTGTCCATTTTTCCTTTGGTTGCCTGTGCTTATGGGGTATTAACCAAAAAATCTTTGCCCAGACCAATGTCCTGAAGAGTTTCCCCAATGTTTTCTTGTAGTAGCTTTATAGTTTGAGGTGTTAGATTTAAGACTTTAATCAATTTTGATTTGATTTTTGTATATTGCAAGAGATATATTGTAGAGATTCATTCTTTTCCATATGAATATCCAGGTTTTACAGCACCATTTATTAAAGAGACTGTTCTTTCTCTCAAAGTATGTTCTTGGCACCTTTCTCAAAAATGAGTTCACTGAAGATGTATGGATTTACCTCTGTGTTCTCCATTCTGTTCCACAGATCTGTATCTGTTTTTATGCCAATACCATGCTGTTTTGGTTACTATAGCTCTGTGGTATAATTTAAAGTCAGAAATGTGATTCCTCCAGTTTTGTTCCTTTTGATCAGGATAGCTTTGGGTATTCTGAGTCTTTTGTGGTTCCATATAAATTTTAGGACTTCTTTTTTCTATTTCTGTGAAGAATGTCATTGGTATTTTGATGGGGATTGTATTAAATCTGTAGATTGATTTAGGTAGTATGGACGCTTTAACAATATTGATTCTTCCCACCTATGAACTTGAAATATATTTCCATTTCTTTAATCAATGTTTTATAGTTTTTATTGTAGAGATCTTTCAATTCTTGGTTAAATTTAATTCTAGATATTTTATTTTACGTGTAGCTGTTGTAAATGGAATTACTTTCTTGATTTCTTTTTCAGATTGTTTACTGTTGGTGATAGAAATGCTACTGATTTTTGTAAGCTGATTTTGTATCCTGAAAATTTATTGATTTACTGAATTTATTTATCAGTTCAAACAGTTTCTTTGGTGGAGTCTTTAAGTTTTTTCAAATATAAGACCATAACATTTGCAAACAAGGACAATTTGACTTCTTTCTTTCCAATTTGGATGCCTTTTATTTTTTTCTCTTGTCTGATTGCTCTAGCTAGGACTTCCAGTACTATGTTGAATAACAGTTTGAAATTGTACATCTATGTCATGTTCCTGATCTTAGAGGAAAGGCTTTCAGTTTTTCCCCATTCAGTATGATACTAGTTGTGGCTCTGTTGTATATGGATTTTATTATGTTGAGGTATGTTCCTTCTATAGACAGTTTTATAAGAGTTTTTTTATTATGAAGGGATATTAAATTTTATGAAATGCTTTTTGGCATCAATTGAAATGATCATATGATTTTTTCCTTCATTCTGTTGATATAACGCATCACACTGTTTGATTTGATTTGCATATGTTGAATGATCTTTGCATCCCTATAATAAATTCCACTTGGTCATAATGACTGATCTGTTTAATGTGTTGTTGAGTTTGGTTTGCTAATATTTTGTTGAGGATTTTTACATCAATATTCATCAGTGATATTGGCCTGTAGTTTTTCATTTTTTAAATGTACCTTTCTCTGGTTTTAGTATCAGGATAATGCTGGCCTTGAAGAATTAGTTTGGAAGTATTCCCTGCTCATTTATTTTTAAGAGTTTGAGTAGGATTGATACTAGTTCATCTTTTAAAGTTTTGTAGAACTCAGCAGTGAAGCCATCAGATGCTGGGTTTTTCTTGCTCTTGCTCTGGGAGACTTTTTATATTATAGTTTCAATCTCATTACTTGTTATTGGTCTGTTCAGATTTTGGATTTCTTCATGATTCAATCTTGGTAGATTGTATGTGTGAAGAAATTATCCATTTTTTTCTAGATTTTTCAATTTATTGGCATATAGTAGCCACTAAGGATCCTCTAAATTTCTGTGGTAATGGTTGTAATGTCTCAGTTTTTATCTCTGATTTTATTTATTTGAGTTTTTTCCCTTTTTCTCTTAGTCTGCCTAAGGTTTCATCAATTTTGTTACTCTTTCCAAAAAAAAAAAACAACTTTTTGTTTCATTGATATTTTGTACTGTTTTATTCACTTCAAATTTATTTATTTCTGCTTTAATCATTATTATTTCTCTTCTCCTACTAATTTTGGGTTTGGTTTCCTCTTGCTTTTTTAGTTCTTTAAGATGTGTCATTATGTTGTTTATCTAAAGTTGTTCTTGTTTTTTGATGTAGGCACTTACAGCTATAAACTTCCCACTTAGTACTGCTTTTCCTGTATCCCATAGGGTTTACTATATTGTGTTTTCATTATCATTTGCTTGAAGAAATTTTTAAATTTCCTTCTAAATTTCTTCATTGACCCATTGGTCATTCAGCAGCATATTGTTTAATTTCCATTTGTTTGTATAATTTCCAAAATTCCTCTTGTTATTGGCTTCTAGTTTTTTTCCATCATGGTCAGAGAAGATGCTTGATATTATTTCAACTTTTTTGAATTTTTTAAGATTTGTTTTGTGACCAAACATATGGCCTATCCTTGGTAATGACCCATGTACTGAGGAAAAGAATGAGTATTCTGCAGCCATTGGGTGAAACACTCTATAAATATCTACTAAGTCCACTTGTTCTATAGTGCAGATTAAGTCTGATGTTTCTTTTTTTGATTTTCTGCCTGGAAGAGCTGTCAAATGCTGAAAGTGGGATGTTGAAGTTACCAGCTATTTTTGTATTGGAATCTCTCTCTCTCTTTAGCTCTAATAATATTTGCTTTATATATCTAGGTGCTCAAGTGTTAGATGTATATATTTAAAATTATTATATCTGCTGCTGAGTTGGCCCTTTTATCATTACATAATGACCTTCTCTGTTGCTTCTTATAGTTTCTTTCCTGAAATGTGTTTTCTCTGATAAAAATGTAACTACTCCTGCTGTTTTTTGGGTTTTGTTTGCATGGAATATCTTTTCTCATGCCTTTATTTTCAGTCTATGTGTGTCTTTATAGGTGAAGTATGTTTCTTGTAGGCAGTAGATCACTGGGCTTTGTTTCCTAATTCATTCGTCCACTCCATGTATTTTTTAAACTGAGGATTAAAGGAATGCAAAGGTAACTACTAAAAAATTCAGTCCATTTCATCAAACCAGGGCAGGAAATTAAAAGTTAGATTAGGAAATGATCACTAATCTACCACGAGTTAGAAAAGAAATTCAAAGCATGTTAAGAAAGAACATAAAAAATAAGGAAAGGCCAGGCGCGGTGTTTCAAGTCTGTAATCCCAGCACTTTGGGAGGCTGAGGCGGGTGGATCATGAGGTCAGGAGATCGCGACCATCCTGGCTAACACGGTGAAACCCCGTCTCTACCAAAAAAATACAAAAAAATTAGCTGGGCGTGGTGGCAGGCGCCTGTAGTCCCAGCTACTCGGGAGGCTGAGGCAGGAGAATGGCATGAACCCAGGAGGCGGAGCTTGCAGTGAGCGGAGATAGAGCCACTGCACTGCAGCCTGGGTGACTGAGCGAGACTCTGTCTCAAAAAAAAAAAAAAAAAAAAAAAAAAAAAGGAAAAAAATGGAGGAAATAGTAAGTACACATGTACAAGTAATAAAGATAATATAAGTGAACTAAGATGAGCCATGGAAGGATAAATTTCATCAGAGTAGAAAAAATAATTAGTCATTGAATTAATTACATCTTTTTTTTCCTAACATCTCTGCTGGTGGTATCTTGACATAGAGACATGGCATGTCACTTAAATTATGTAGCTAGGAGGGAAGGCTATCTACGATGCATGTCAGGGTCACTATAGTTCAATGTAAATAACATAAATACATATTACAGTGTTTTAGTTTAGGTTTATCTAGAGTAACATTTTTCAGAAATGAAAGAACTGATATCAAAGGTCTATTATCCCCTCCCCAGTTAGCAGTAGCCAAAATAATTCATATTTAAATTATTCAATTGAAATTGTATAAATGGCATTTGCTATATATATGTATATACACACACACACATATATACATATATAAAAATTTGAGTGTCACACTGATTGTATTGCTAATATTATCAGATAATTTTTCTGGATACAGTTACAGTGTTGTTTGTTTTAAAGAAAAATATTTTACCCATGCTTCATCTTTCATACCTCCTGCTACTTAATCTTGTGGCTGATTGTCTGTGTTTTCATGTTTATACACATATACACATTAGCCTCTTTTGCTCATTAAATGTTATGTTCCTTGGAGTCTAACAACACATATATTTTTCTTCCTACTGCAGAGCTTTGTTCATAATGGATGGCCTTCTTGTTTTTCTACAGGAGAATAATAATAACAATGCCAGTGCTGGTGGCAGGGTGTCCACCAGAAAGCCTCATGCTCTGTGAGACCTGTTCTATTTCTATAAGCAGGCACCACCATCAGAATGATTTACTTACCTTGACTCTACATGGGATTACACCCAAGGGAATGAATATACATAAAAATCCTAAACAATGGCAGTAAATTTGCCTAGCAATTATGCATGTGGGTCGTGTAATGTTTTGGCGTACCTTAAATTCATCATAATAGTTTTGGATACCTTTTCACAATAATTTACTTAGAAAAAAACATTCAGATTTTCACATCCTCAGATAATGCAATTCATGTCAAGAGAAGGATTACTAATTCCCTTAATGATTCATTTTATACTCCACTGAATGCAGGAGTCTAGAAAAAAGTATTATTTTGCAATAAATGTCAAAAACATGTTTTATTTAAATAGCTCAACACATAGTACTGACAAAATTTAGTTAAAGATCATTTATACCCTTCTGTGGCCAAAGTCATCTATGGGTTTCCTCAATTTGCTTTTGTCTATAAAACAGACTCAATTTGCTTTACCACATGAAGCATAAATTTAAAACAATGTTTCATAAATCTCTGTCAGTGAAGATTAAAGGGTTCCTTAATTTACAAATACCACTACCAGCCTATGAGCTCTATGTTGCCAGCTTTGAAAATTGAATTAGACAACAGAATGCTGATTTTCAACCTCACCTGCTAGTAAAGACAAGATTTCTAATAAAAGAAGAATATGTAAGTCATTATTAAATGTCCCTAGAGATCTTATATGTACCCTAATATGATTCTAAACTTCTGTTTGTCCAAACAGGATTATTTTAATAGAGCACTGAAGATAAGGCATTTAAGTTGCATTCATAGTTGTCTGTCATAGTAACTCCACTTGGTACATTGTTCACATCTGCTGCATAATGTTAGGAGCTGTATAAGATCATTTAAACCTTGTTTAAGAAAATGCACATTACCAAGAGTAAATTCTCTAATTTTGGATGACTGTTTCAACACTATGTACCAGTCACAAACAAGCCCAGTGTGAAATGTAATGAAATTAGACTTCATACTATATATTAAAGTACTAATTGGCCAGTATCTAGCTATTTCAAAAACTTCCACTTTAAAAATAGATGCTAGTATGTGACCTATAAAATTCTTCTTTCTCTTTAAAACACGCTTGAGTACTTATAAGTACAAGGCATTGTGCTAAGTGTTTTACCTGTATTATTGCATTTGATTCTCACAACTCTATAAGGTTGTTGTTCTGTTATTAGTCCCTTTTTACAGAGGAGAAAACCAAGTTACCAGAAAGACAAATCATTCAAGGACACACAGCTAGTAAATGTTGGATTACATTTTACTTTAATTAGTAGACTTCAGTTTTTTTAACTACCCTGATTTAATTACTATGCCATGCATACATGATTGAAACTTCACACTGTACCCCGTAAATATGTACAACTATGCATCAATTTAAAACAAAATAAAAATTTAAAACTAAAATACTTAGTTTTTAGAGCGGTTTAAGGTTTACAGAAAATTGAACAGAAAGTACAGAAAGTGACATTATACCCTCTTGTTACATCTCCTTTCTCCCCTGCACATAGCTTTGCCTGTTATTAAAATCTTACAATAGTATGGTACATTTGTTACAGTTGATGATACATAACTATTAACTAAAACACTTAGTTTACATTAGGGTTTACTTTTGAGTTGTACAGTTGCCTGGGATTTAATGCATGCATAATATCATGTATCTGCTATTAATGTATTACACAGAATAGTTTCACTGTCTTAAAAATTACCTGTGCTTCACATGTTCGTCCTTCCTGCCAAATCCCTAGAAACCAGTGATCATTTTACTGTCTCTATAGTTTTGCTTTTTTCAAAATATAATATAGTTGGAATCATACAATATTTAGTCTTTTCAGACTGGCTTCTCTCACTAAGTAATATGCATTTAAGGTGCTTCCATGTCTTTTCATGGCTGGATATCCATTTTTGAAAATCATTGAATAATATTCCATTGCATTGTTCTATTACCAATGGAAGGGCATTTTGCTTGTTTTCAAGTTGTGGCAATTATGAATAAAGCTGCTAAGATATGTATCCAGGAGTTCTGTATTAGTTTTCTATGGCTGCCATAACAAAATATTACAAACTGAGAGGCTTAAAGCAATAGAAATGTATTGTGTCACAGTTGTGGAGGGTAGGAGTCTGAAGTCAAGATGTCAGCAGCACAGGTTTTTTTTCTTATGGCCATAATCATGCTTATCTAATAGTGTCTAGAGAATTAGCAGCAATCTTTAGTGTTCCTTGGCTTGCAGATGCTAATCTCTGCCTTCATTTTACATGGAGTTCTCCCCCGTGTCATCACATAGTCTTTCCCTTGTGCATGTCTGTGTCTGTGTACAAACTTTCCATTTTTATAAGGACATTAGTTATGTTGAATTAGGGCTGACCCAAATGACCTCATTTTAACTTGGTAACCTCAGTAAAGATCTTATTTCTAAACAAGATCATATTCTAAGGTACTTAGGACTTCAACATACCTTTCTGGGGAGACACAAATTAACCCTCAACAAATGCAATAGCTAGACTGTGTGGTAAGACAATGCTTAGCTTCATTTTGGGGGAAAAAATTTGCCAGATTGTCTTTCAAAGTGGCTATACCATATTAAATTCCCACAAACAATGAGAGTTCCTGTTGCCCCACATGCTCATCAGCATTTGGTGTTGTCAGGGTACTGGATTGTAGTTATTCTAGTAGGTGTGTAGTGGTATCTTATTGCTGTTTTCATTCGCAATTCCCTTAAGCATGATATTGAGCATCATGTCACCCTATTTGCCATCTGTATATCTTCTTTGTTGAGTTGTCTGTTCTCATAATTTGCCTGTTTTTTTTAATCGGATAGCTTGTTTTCTTATCGTTAAGTTTTAAGCATTCTTTGTCTATTTTGGATATGAGTCCTTTAGCAGATATTTGTTTTGCAAAGGTTTTTCTCCAAGTTTGTATCTTTTAATTTTCTTAATAGTATATTTTGCAGATCAGAAGGCTTTAATTTTAATGAAGCCCAACTTATTATTTTTGTATTTTTTTGATTATGTTTTTGGTTTGTATCTAAAAAGTCATCACTAAACACAAGATCACCTAGATTTTCTTCCATATTATCTTCTAGCAGCTTTATAGTTTGTTTGTTTTACACTTAGATCTATGATCTGTTTTTAGTTAATTTTTGCTAAAAACATAAGGTTTGAGTCTATGTTCAGTTTTTGTGTGTGAATAGACTACCTTTTTTTAAAGACTATGATTTTTGCAAGAAGTTGTGTTTGCTCCTTTGTCAAGGATCAGTTGTCCTCATTTGTATTAACTGGGTCTATATCTAGTTTCTCTATTCTGTGCTATTCACCTATTTGTCTATTTTGCCAATATCACATTGTCTCTATTACTTACTATACCATTATATTAAGTCTTGAAGTCAGGTAGAATCAATCCTCCAACTATTTCTGTTTGATATTGTTTTGGTTATTCCTTGTCTTTTGCATTTCTGTTTCAACTTTCAAATCAGTTTGTCAACATCCACAAAATAATTTTCTAAGATTTTGATTGGGATGCATTGACTCTGTAGACTAAGGTAGGAAGAACTGACATCTTAAGAATATTGAATCTTTCTACACATTAACAGGGAATATTTTCATTTATTTAAATTGTCTGATTTTTAATCAGAGTTTTATAATTTTTCTCAGACAGTTTTCTATGTTTTTGATAAATTCATACCTATTTCATTTTTGGAAAAAATATTTTGTGTGGTTTTTAATTTTCATATAAATGACTTTGTGTTTTATATTTCAAATGCAGTCATTCACTGCTTGTATATAGGAAAGCAACTGACTTTTGTATGTTAACAAAAGGAGATTTAATTGGACTTACAGTTCCACCTTGCTGGGGAGGCCTCAGAATCATGGCGAGAGGTGAAAGGCACTTCTTACATGGTGGCAGCAAGAGAAAATGAGAGATAAGCAAAAGCAGAAACCCCTGATAAACCCATGAGATCTTGTGAGACTTATTCACTATCACAGGAATAACATGGGAAAGACTGGCTCCCATGATTCAATTGCCTCCCCCTGGGTCCCTCCCACAACACATGGGAATTCTGGGAGATACAATTCAAGTTGAGATCTGGTGGGACACAGCTAAACCATATCACCTTGTATCCTGCAAATCTGCTATAATCACTTATAAGTTCTAAGGCTTGTTTGTTGATTCTTTGGGATTTTCTATATAAATAATGATATATGTGAATAGAGATAATTTTATTTTTTCCTTCCCAATTTGTGCACTTTTTACTTCCTTTTTTCTTTGCTTTCTTTTTGTTGTTTTATTGCATTAGCTGGGACTTCCAGTGCAATATGGAATATGAGTAGTGAGAGGATATGTTCTTGCTTTACTCCTAATCTTAGAGAGAAAGCTTCTAGTTTGTCACTGTTAAGTGTGATACTAGCCATAGGTTTTTTTGTAAATGTTCTTTAGCAGATTGAGGAAGTCCACCAATATTTCTAGTTTGTAGAGTTTTTACCATAAATGAGTGTTCAATTTTTTCAAATACTTTTTCTACATCTATTGTTATGATTATGTGATTTTTCTTCTTTAACCTGTTAATGTGACGAATTACATTAATTAATTTTCAAATGTCAAACCAGTCTTGCATACCTAGGATAATTCCCACTTGGTCATAGTGTATAATTACTTTTATTTTATCCGCTAATATTTTGCTGAGGATAGTTGCACTGTATTCATGCGATACTGGTCTGTAGTTTTCCTCTTTTATAATGTCATTGTCTGGTTTTGGCATTGGAGTGCATTTGAAACCACAGTCTGATTCCGGAGCCTACAGTCCTAACTACTATATTCTACTGTCACACTGCTTTGAGTTTTAATACTTGAGTTTTTATCATGAACTAGGCACTGCTTGATGTTTTCACATATATTATTGCATTTTTCTGGATCATATAGTAGTAGAAAAGATGATCCTGGCAGAAGTAAGCAAATGTGCCTCATTTCTAAAATGGGTGTAATAATAGTGTCTTCTCCATGAGATTTTTGTGAGGAATAAACTATGTAGTGAATGACAAACACCCAACAGTGCTTAAACACTTTACAAACACATCATGTGTTATTGAGATAAGTCAAATCACAGTTGAATTATTTTATGCTCCAAACTAATATACATATAATACTATACTACTTATTAGCATAGTGTTTGCCACATAGCTAATATTTAACAAATCTTGTTGAACTGAATGTATAAATATTTTAGATAATTTTTCTAAATTTTTCTTTTCTGTTTTTAAAGCAAAATTAAGATTAGAAACTTCATATTTACTATTACCAGTGGTGATAGCTAAAGGAGAAATATAAAATATTTAGAACTTTAGTAATAGAAGAATAGTAGCAATGATCACATTTTTATGATGCAAAATATACACGTAAATTTAAACTCTCACTATAAATATAAAATATCTTTTTAAATGAGCATAAATACCCTATAAGATGTTCCACTTCATTGCATTAAATAGAGAATGCCTTTTTAGATTAATTATAATGATATTATAACAGAGCATGTGAATCTTTCATCAATATGTATTTTTAGTAATTTATTCATCTGAAAATGCCATGGACAAAAAGACTGATGCTTCCAAAGCAATCACATTGTAATACATTTTCTCAGGTAACACCATCCATGAGCACTGAGATTAAAAATACGGCCCTGCTCACCAGGGCTTGGTAGAGGAAATCTATAGACCAATCACAGTTCTTAGCAGAGGTAGAAAGGATCATGCTCCTATTCTTGCTGAAATTTCAACGTGAGGCATAAGTACCCATTTTAGGATCAAGAAAACCTCTGTAATCATGAATGTACCTCTGACCTCCTAACCTGCTCTTCATTAGAGGAAAAGGATGAGATGTTCCAGAACAGGGTTTAACCAACGGTGACTAGCCTCTAATTTTTTATTGTACAATTCATGAGCTAATAATGTTTCTAATATTTGTAAAGGTTGTGGAAAAAAGGGGAATATGAGACACAGATCATGGCCCACTAAGCCTAAAATACTTACTGTTGGCTTCTTTACCTAATACATCTTCTATAGTGATGAAAATGTTCTGTATCTCTGCTGTCCAATATGGTAGTCACAAAACAAACGTAGCATTGAGTAGTTGAAATGTAGTAGTGCAACTGAGGAAATAAATTTTAGTTGTATTTAATTTTAATTAATTCAAATTTAAATAACCACATGTGTCTCGTGGCTACCAAATTGGACCGCACAGCTTTAGAGCACCATCTCTCCTATCCCAAAAATTCTGAACCATCAAAAACCAAAAACAATAGATGAGACAGAGGCCGCTATAACCTGAAGTGTCCTTATTCAGCTCATCTAACTCCTCCAAAAACATTTTCCTTTTCTGCCATTTCTTATCCCCTTTGATTCCATTTCTTTCCAATGTATCTTCAGACGCCTTCCTATCCCATTTACCTTGTGTTTTTACGGAAATGCAGAATAAAATGGCAAGCTAAGATCCTGCTTCAGGGTCCTTTTGCAAGACCAAGTCAAAACTCTAAATCATTGCCCTTAAAGGAGTGTGGCAAATGGATTCTTTTGGTACCTGATTGAAGGATATGGATATTTCTCTGATGGGTTATGAATTGATCACTATGTATAAAGCAATTTCTGTAGGAAATTCTGAGTTCCAAACAGTTGACTTAAAAAACTGGCCACACACTTTTTGATAAATTAGGAATCAATTGTGTATGGTTTACAATAAGCAATTACTTATAAGTTGAGGTTTCTACTATTTTTTTTTCTCACTAAACTTTGTTTTAATGGGTCTAAAAATTCTGTGACAGATTTTTGGTCAAGTTGTTTCCATTAAAAAGTACTGATTTTAGTGAAACCCTGTCTCTACTAAAAATACAAAAAAATTAGCCGGGCATGGTGGCGGGCGCCTGTAGTCCCAGCTACTCAGGGGGCTGAGGCAGGAGAATGGCGTGAACCCAGGAGGCGAGCTTGCAGTGAGCGGAGATCACACCACTGCACTCCAGTCTGGGCGACAGAGCGAGACTCCATCTCAAAAAAAAAAAAAAAAAAAAGTACTGATTTTAGGCTGGACGAGGCAGCTCACACCTGTAATCCCAGTACTTTGGGAGGCTGAGGCTGGTAGATCACCTGAGGTCAGGATTTGGAGACCAGCCTGGCCAACATGGGAAAACCCCATCTATACTAAAAATACAAAAAAAAAAAAAAAAAATAGCCAGGCACGGTGGCAAGCGCCTGTTAGTACCAGCTACTAGGGAGGCTGAGGCAGGAGATTCACTTGAACCCAGGAGGCGGAGGTTGCAGTGAGCCGAGGTCACGCCACTGCACTCCAACCTGGGCAACAGAGTGAGATTCTGTCTCAAAAAAAAAAAAAAAAAAGTAGTACAGATTTTAAAAACTAATAACAAAACTGCCACTTGCCAAAAAAAAAAAAAGTGCTCCTTCTTTCCTTCTGAAGGTTTTATGAGGCATTGTTATTGTTAACCAGTCTTTTACTATTAAACTTAAATGGCCAATTGAAACAAACCGTTCTGAGACCATTCTTCTACCACTGAGTAAGACTGGGGTGGCAGGTATTAGGGATAATATTTATTTAGCCTTCTGAACTTTCTGGGCAGACGTGGTGATCTTTCCAGCTCCAGCAGCCTTCTTGTCCACTGCTTTGATGACATCCATGGCAATTCTCCATCTCATATCATGAACAGCAAAGCAACCCAAAGGAGGATAGTCTGAGAAGACCTCAACACACATGGGCTTGCCAAGAACCATATCAACATCACCAGAGTTCAAGAATTTGGTGGCAACATCACCAGACTTCAAGAATTTAGGGCCATCTTTCAGCTTCTTACCAGAATGGCAATCAATCTTTTCCTTCAGCTCAGCAAATTTGCATGCAATGTGATCTGTGTGGCAATCCAGTAGAGGGGAATAGCCAGCACTGATTTGGACTGGATGCTTCAGGATAATCACCTGAGCAGCGAAGCCAGTTGTTTCCGTTGGTGGATCATTTTTGTTGTCACCAGCAACATTGCCACAATGAACATTTTTGACAGACACATTCTTGACATTGAAGGCCACATTGTTCTGAGGAAGAGTCACTCAAAGCTTCATGGTGCATTTCAACAGACTTTACTTCAGGTGTGTAACACTGACTGGAGCAAAGGTGATCACCCTACCAGGTTTGAGAACACCAGTCTCCACTCCGCCAATAGGCAAAGTAGCAACACCACCAATTTTGTAGACATCCTGGAGAGGCAAGGGCGAGGGCCTGTCGGTTGGACAAGCTGGTGTTAGGATGCAGTCCAGTGCCTCAAGCAACTTGGTTCCACTGGCATTGACATCTTTATGAGTGACTTTCCATCCCTTGAACCAAGGCATGTTAGCACTTGGCTCCAGCATGGTGTCACCATTCCAACCAGAAACTGGCACAAATGCTACTACTGTGCCAGGGGCTGTAGTTAATTTTCTTAATGAAAGTGCTGACTTCTTTAAGGATTTGTATTTTTTCTGGCTGTAGGGTGTCTCAGTGGGATCCATTTTGTTAACATCAACAATTAGTTGTTTCCCACCCAGTGTGTAAGCCAGAAGGGCATGCTCATGGGTGTGCCCATTCTTAGAGATACCAGCTTCAGATTCACCAGCACCAGCAGCAACAATCAGGACAGCACGGTCAGCCTGAGATGTCCCTATAATCATGTTTTTGATAAAGTGTCTGTGTCCTGGGGAATCAATGATAGTCATGTAGTACTTGCTGGTCTCAAATTTTGGCAGGGAGATATCAATAGTCATACCATGTTCACATTCAGCTTTCAGTTTATCCAAGACCCAGGCATACTTGAACGAGCCCGTTCCCATCTCAGCAGCCTCCTTCTCAAATTTTTCAATGGTTCTTTGGTCGACGCCTCCTCATTTGTGGATCAGATGGCCAGTAGTGGTGGACTTGCCCCATCTACGTGTCCAATGACAACAATGCTGATATGAGTGTGTTCCTTTCCCATTTTGGCTCTTGGGGTAGTTTTCACAATACTTGTTTTCTGGTGGCAAACCCACTGGGGGAAAGAAAGCGCTACTATTTTTATAGAACACTTTTTGTTTCCTTGTTAATTCTACGGGAAAATATATTATACCAGCCTATTGTTGTAAATATCAAAGAGGACTCTTTCAAAAAATGCAAATGCGCTCTGTTTCAGTAGGTCTCAGATGAAACCAAAAGCTTTTCTGTTTGACAAGTACACTTAAGCTAAGCCGATGTCGGCAGAGGAGATTGACAGCCCAACCATTCAGTAACACGGCATTAACAGATTCAGAGAAAGATTTGTTGAAAAGTAAGTCAGAACCATTCACTAAATAAATTTTAGGACTATCAGTTTTCTATATTATGACACCTTATGTTTTCATGGTTTGTACATTCTGTTTCTTGGGTCTTATATTCCTAGAAAATGACTACTTTTCATTTTTGTCATCTTCTTTCAGAAAGAACCAAATGTCCCTTCTTCTGTGAGACCCTACTTGAATTCCCAAGAAAAATTTGGCTTTCTTTTTTAAATATTCTGAATTATACTTTGTATGTAAACTCTATTACAGTCTATCACATTGTGTTAAATTTATTTCACATTAAGAGGAGGAGTCATGTCTTATCATGCATGTAATTTCATACCTAAAATATTTTATAGTGCATAATTAATGCTCTATAAATGTTTGATAAACAGAAAATGAGAAAAAAATCAGAGCTGACTATAGTTAACCGACATTTTAGTTAAACATGATAAGTATTTACAATCTTTGCCAGTTTCTAAATTATAATTTTACTCATACATTTTAAGGTATCAGATTTTAATCTTAAAAAAGTCCTCAAGGCAAAATAAAAACATTAATTTAAAAAATTGCTTTAGAGTTAACTTTATGTCATCTTTCATTCCAAGTATATAGACTAGGAATTAAAATTTTAACTTAATTTTTTTAAAATTTAATTTAAAACACATAAATAAATTTAAATAATTTAAATTTTTTTAATTATTATTATTTATTAATTAATTATTATTTAAATAAATAATTTAAAACACATAAAGAGAAATGCTATTTGTAATGAACTGGAAAAGTGCATTCCCTCTCTATCTAATATAGGAGCTTCATGAGAGCAGGGACCTTCTATATTTCCAATTCCTACATCAGTGTGTGGCATATAATTAGTTTTCAATAAACATTTATTCACTAATTGAAAAGATGGATACATAAATAAATGGGTATATGAATGCCATGTGGGGCAGGGGCCCGACACAGTTGGAGTTTCAATTTTTCAAGAAATACCAAGATATTTAAATAAATACAATTTTTAAATGTTAACACATTTTAAAATTCAGAAAAAGAACAAAGAAAAACAAAAATATGCAGACTGAACAAAACTTATTAAATGCAGCCTATGGGTCATGAGTTTACAATATTTAATAAAAACAAGCAGCAGGAACAAATATTTGTTCAGTACTACAAATCACAAAATATATTTAGTTAGGTTATGTGGGAATTCTTTACAACTTCATATATGATACAAATACTCTGCATGTAGAATCAGCTAGTGCTTTGGTACCTGTTTGCCCTTAACAATCTCTTCTTTTCTGAGGTGGCTTTATTCTATCAGAGTGACACTTTTGAAATCAATCACATTTTCCTCAACCTGACAGATTAAAAAGTTTACCGAAAAAGAATTGGAGCACAATACTACATTTAAAACATTTTCCAAAGCTACATTTTTTTCAATAGTTTATTTCATTAACTACAAGCTTCAGGGCAAGATTCTCTGTGTAATGCATGTGCATTATGTCTTAGGACTTAAAATTATGGTTCCAGTTTGCTGATTCCCAAATCAACTAATTCAAGAAGTGAAATACAGTTTTTGTGCCAAAGTAATTGTTTCTCCTGGAGTTTCTTTTGAACTGTAAGTCTATCTTCAATGCATTTCTTTGTTAAGCAAAATATAAAATGGGTAATGGATAAATGTTGAGAATATCATCCAATCATTTTTTAAGTAGTTGTCAAATGCTCTCTTTAGAAAGCTTCTCAAGGGGAAATGTTTATGTCTAGAGTAAGTGGTACAAAGCATCATAAAAATATGCCAAATGATTATTATCTGCCAAAAATGGAAATGGTAGAGGAAGTGGAAATTCTACTCTTGAAAAAATGAAAAGAACAAAAAAGACCCATTTGTTTACAATCTTTGGAAGTAGTCTTTATGCAATAAAATTGTAGGGGAAAATGAATGTTTGGAAACTCCAGGGTCCTTTTCATTAGAAAGACAATGTACCAGACAACTGACTGAATTTTTTAACTTTTTCAGAATACTTTACTATAATTTATATTCAGCCAAATTATCAATAAAAAAGAATGTATTAAAAATTCAACACAAACCCCTTAGATAGGATTTTAAAATACTAACTACTGCCAAATTATTGGGAGAAACTTTGTATATACAAACCAGTGATAATTTCAGTTATGAAAATTTTCTTCAGGAAGCTAAGGGCCTTCAAAGTTTCTATTGCTTTACATTACCTACTAATTATGACTTTTCAACTGCATGTTAATTTGGGCAAATAGAGAGCTAGAAGACTTTTGTTTCTGTTTTGCATATGTTTAGAACAAATACATTCAAGGCGTAATACTTCATTTAATATTCTAACTAAATCTATGAAACAAAAACATGGGAATTCAAAGAATTATAACTAGCATTCAAGCAATAATAATTGAATAAGAAAGTGGTAATAACTTTGGCTGGACAGATGGCAAATCTAAATACTGTGAAGTTAAAAAGAGGGCCTTAGAGGTCAATAATACTTTTTTTTCAACCAATTTATTGATTCTTTTGATTATGTCTTATATGAAGTTTCAGTTCGAATACTCTGATTAACAGAGAGTTCTCTACCTCCCAACCCAATCAATTCTACCTTTGGAACATTCTAAATTAGAAAAGTCTTTTTGACAAAGGTATAAATCTACCCACAATTTCACCTTATTTTTCCCACCTTAAATTCTAGGTTAATTCTATTATACTCCAGTGATAATTTACATAATTAACTGAAAGCCTGATATTGGAGGTTACAGAGGCCCACTGTACATCATAACAGTCCACCATGAAAATGATGGGCTACAAGGATTCGAAGTATAAATACGGTCCATTTTGTGTCAGATTAACAAAGATTATGAAAACACGTGCAATTTAAAAATGTTCCATGTTTTTCTCACACATTTCTGTGGGAGGGGTGAGAATTAATGAGAGGTCTGACTCACATGTACATGGACACAATACACTTTCACCTTATGAATGGGGTTCATGGTGATTTCTTAAATGCACCTAATGAGTACATCATCATAATCATAATAAACTCTGGTAAGATTAAACACTGGGATAGCTTCTGCATCCCAACCATTTGCCATTATTATAGGGTTCTCATCAGTTTTCACAACTGAATCTCTGTTAATACTTGCGATCAAGATGGGCTTAAAGTTCTTTCCAGCTTGATTAAGCTTTAGACAGGCTCTTTCTTGACTCTAGCTAGGCCCCTTGACCTCCCTTTTCTTACAGCATTTACTTCAGAAAACTTTAATTGTAAATCCTTTATCTGCCCCTTTGAGATGTAAATCTTTCTAAAAGCCTCTTACCAGTTTCACAACTCAGGATTGTCTTTCTCAAGGATCCAGGAGCCATCCCTTTGATATGTAACTATCAAGGAAGATAAAGTGTTACCTCCAGGTCTCTGTAAGAACATTGGAGCTTAACTTCCTGAGTGGGTGGCTTGCTCCAAATTGTAAAATTACCTCCTGTCACAAAGATAAAAGAAAGTTTACTTGTCCTTTGGGTAAAGCCAATGAGCCAATACAAATGGCCTATGTTTTCCCTCTTACTCCAGCGCTTTAAACTTTCTCACCCCTTGTTTCAGCAAAGGTGAGTTCAGATTGTATTATGGTCTTGCTCCCCTATTGTAACGGCCCTGAATAAAGTCTTCCTTACTTATTTAACTTTGTCCAGTGCAATTTTTGCATTGACACACACACAAAATACTTCTTCAGATTTGCAGTCATGCTTTCTAAGACAGAAAAAAATACTCCTTCAGATTTGCAATCATGAAAAAGCCGACTAGATAGAGCAGCATTTGATAAAGATATAAACAGAAGCTACTCTTTGAGTAAAGGCTGCTAGCAGTCATATAAATTAGCATGAAACTTGAAATTCTTAATTTACAAAAGGTCTACATGTAATTAGTCATGGGCAAGGAAAAAATTTAAGAAAAATTGTAACACTGCCCTGTAGAACTAGTACTATCTTCTCTAGACTGCCAAAACTCACTCATCACAGGGCTAATAACGGGAGCTTTGGCCAACATTAAAAAATGTTAAAGAAAATGTTGCCATCTAGTAAAAGAGGGGAAGATGTTGGGTTATAGGCTTTTTCAATTTTTGTGAGACTTTACATATCCTGTTAAACCAAAATGAACGTATCCAAGTTTTTAAAATTCTATGTTTTTATCTTAATAAATTTAAATATAAAGGAATTCTCTAGGTTATTGTACTCTACTTTTAGCATTTTTACATTATATTTAATAATTAAAACGTGGTCTGGCATATATGCTGCTCTATGCAAGTGTAGGGTGTAGCTATAACTATTAGTATATCATGCTGCCTTTCCATTACTGCAATTTTATGTGGTCCTGCAAATAAATGTGCCTGATCAGTTTTAACTTAGCTGAAATATATTTCAAGCTATTTTAAAATTGTGTTTTAAAACATGTATACTTTTTTTTAAAAGTGTTATGCTATACCATACAATCTCATTACTGGCTTGGCAGTTTGACCACTTGAAAACCATCTAACCTTTCCTCTTTTTGTTATGTTTAATTGGCAGGGAGAGTCATAGTTTACAGTTAAAGACTGTGTGTGACGAATATCCATCATTACTAGATGTGACTGAATTTTTAATCCTTTTATTTGTGGTAGATCTCTTTGCCTTAATTGCTGATTTAGTAGTTAATTGAGAAAACCTTTATTAATGATCTCATATAGCTCTAAGGAATTTTGAATGAATGAGATTCTTCTCCAGAAATAATTTTCCCAACTACCTATGTCAGATCTGCGGAAAGATGAGTAGAATGGGTAGTGAAATCCACTGGTTCAATGGTTTCGTCAGCCACACAATCACACATAACATACACATAAAAAAAATGCATTAGGAATTCTTGATCTTAATGACAATTCTGAGCAATGGTACTCTCAAAAATTGGAAAAAAAACTAAAAAATAATTTTTCCTATAACTTTTTTTTGAGGGGAACATATGGAACATCTTTTGATATAGGGTATGTCTGTTCCTACTTTCTAAATCTAGCTGCCTTTTGCTTGACTTCTTGCTTCTCAGCCTCTCGCTTCTTACTTGCCACTCACATACCTGTTATTAGGGAAGAGATTTTTTTTTTAATTATTATTATTATACTTTAAGTTCTAGGGTACATGTGCTCAACGTGCAGGTTTGTTACGTATGTATACATGTGCCACGTTGGTGTGCTGCACCCATTAACTCGTCATTTAGCATTAGGTATATCTCCGAATACTATCCATCCCCCCTCCCCCCACCCCACAACAGGCCCTGGTGTGTGATGTTCCCCTTCCTGTGTCCATGTGTTCTCATTGTTCAGTTCCCACCTATGAGTGAGAACATGCGGTGTTTGGTTTTCTGTCCTTGCGATAGTTTGCTGAGAAGGATGGTTTCCAGCTTCATCCATGTTTCTACAAAGGACATGAACTCATCTTTTTTTATGGCTGCATAGTATTCCATGGTGTATATGTGCCACATTTTCTTAATCCAGTCTATCATTGTTGGACATCTGGGTTGGTTCCAAGTCTTTGCTATTGTGAATAGTGCCACAATAAACATACGTGTGCATGTGTCTTTATAGCAGCATGATTTATAATCCTTTGGGTATATACCCAGTAATGGGATGGCTGGGTCAAATGGTATTTCTAGTTCTAGATCCCTGAGGAATCGCCACACCGTCTTCCACAATGGTTGAACTAGTTTACAGTCCCACCAACAGTGTAAAAGTGTTCCTATTTCTCCACATCCTCTCCAGCACCTGTTGTTTCCTGACTTTTTAATGATCACCATTCTAACTGGTGTGAGATGGTATCTCATTGTGGTTTTGATTTGCATTTCTCTGATGGCCAGTGATGATAAGCATTTTTTCATGAGTCTGTTGGCTGCATAAATGTCTTCTTTTGAGAAGTGTCTGTTCATATCCTTCGCCCAGTTTTTGATGGGGTTGTTTGTTTTTTTCTTGTAAATTTGTTTAAGTTCTTTGTAGATTCTGGATATTAGCCCTTTGTCAGATGGGTAGATTGCAAAAATTTTCTCCTATTCTGTAGGTTGCCTCTTCATTCTGATGGTAGTTTCTTTTGCTGTGCAGAAGCTCTTTAGTTTAATTGGATCCCATTTGTCAATTTTGGCTTTTGTTGCCATTGCTTTTGGTGTTTTAGTCATGAAGTCCTTGACCATGCCTATGTCCTGAATGGTATTGCCTAGGTTTTCTTATAGGGTTTTTATGGTTTTAGGTCTAACGTTTAAGTCTTTAATCCATCTTGAATTAATTTTTGTATAAGGTGTAAGGAAGGATTCAGTTTCAGCTTTCTACATATGGCTAGCCAGTTTTCCCAGCACCATTTACTAAATAGGGAATCCTTTCCCCATTGCTTATTTTTGTCAGGTTTGTCAAAGGTCAGATGGTTGTAGATGTGTGGTATTATTTCTGAGGGCTCTGTTCTGTTCCATTGGTCTATATCTCTGTTTTGGTACCAGTACCATGCTGTTTTGATTACTGTAGCCTATGGTATAGTTTGAAGTCAGGTAGCGTGATGCCTCCAGCTTTGTTCTTTTGGCTTAGAATTGTCTTGGCAATCAGGGCTCTTTTTTGGTTCCACATGAATTTTAAAGTAGTTTTTCCAATTCTGTGAAGAAAGTCATTGGTAGTTTGATGGGGATGGCATTGAATCTATAAATTACCTGGGGCAGCATGGCCATTTTCAGGATATTGATTCTTCCTATCCATGAGCATGGAATGTTCTTCCATTTGTTTGTGTCCTCTTTTATTTCGTTGAGCAGTGGTTTGTAGCTCTCCTTGAAGAGGTCCTTCACATCCCTTGTAAGTTGGATTCCTAGGTATTTTATTCCCTTTGAAACAATTGTGAATGGGAGTTCACTCATGATTTGGTTCTCTGTTTGTCTGTTATTGGTGTATAGGAATGCTTGTGATTTTTGCACATTGATTTTGTATCCTGAGACTTTGCTGAAGTTGCTTATCAGCTTAAGGAGATTTTGGGCTGAGACAATGGGGTTTTCTAGATATACAATCATGTCATCTGCAAACATGGACAATTTGACTTCTTCTTTTCCTAATTGAATGCCCTTTATTTCTTTCTCCTGACTGAGTGCCCTGTCCAAAACTTCCAACACTATGTTGAATAGGAGTAGTGACAGAGGGCATCCCTGTTTTCTGCCAGTTTTCAAAGGGAATGCTTCCAGTTTTTGCCCATTCAGTATGATATTGGCTGTTGGTTTGTCATAAATAGCTCTTTTTATTTTGAGATACATCCCATCAATACCTAATTTATAGAGAATTTTTAGCATGAAGGGCTATTGAACTTTGTCAAAGGCCTTTTCTGCATCTATTGAGATAATCATGTGGTTTTTGTCTTTGGTTCTGTTTATACGATGGATTACGTTTATTGATTTGTGTATGTTGAACCAGCCTTGCATCCCAGGGATGAAGCCCACTTCATCATGGTGGACAAGCTTTTTGATGTGCTGCTGGATTTGGTTTGCCAGTATTTTACTGAGGATTTTTGCATCAATGTTCATCAGGGATATTGGTCTAATATTCTCTTTTTTTGTTGTGTCTCTGCCAGGCTTTGGTATCAGGATGATGCTGGCCTCATAAAATGAGTTAGGGAGGATTCCCTCTTTTTCTATTGATTGGAATAGTTTCAGAAGGAATGGTATCAGCTCCTCCTTGTACCTCTGGTAGAATTCGGCTGTGAATCTGTCTGGTCCTGGAATTTTTGGTTGGTAGTCTATTTATTATTGACTCAATTTCAGAGCCTGTTACTGGTCTATTCAGGGATTCAACTTCTTCCTGGTTTAGTCTTCGGACGGTGTATGTGTCCAGGAATTTATCCATTTATTCTAGATTTTCTAGTTTATTTGCGTAGACGTGTTAAAGATGTTCTTTGAAACCAATGAGAACACAGACACAAAATACCAGAATATCTGGGACACATTTAAAGCAGTGTGTAGAGGGAAATTTATAGCCCTAAATGCCCACAAGAGAAAGCAGGAAAGATCTAAAATTGACACCCTAACATCACAATTAAAATAACTAGAGAAGCAAGAGCAAACACATTCAAAAGCTAGCAGAAGGCAAGAAATAACTAAGATCAGAGCAGAACTGAAGGAAATAGAGACACAAAAAACCTTTCAAAAAATAATGAATCCAGGAGCTAGTTTTTTGAAAAGATCAACAAAATTGGTAGACTGCTAGCAAGACTCATAAAGAAGAAAAGAGAGAAGAATCAAATAGATGCAATAAAAAAATGATAAAGGGGATATCACCACTGATCCCACAGAAATGCAAACTACCATCAGGAAAGACATTGTTAATGGTTGCAATGGCATAAATCCTCCAGAATTAAACATCTGATCTCCTATGTGTTAGTCTCCATTTTGCTAATTTACGAATCATTGCCCTCATGGTATTTACAGAAAGATTTCTCATTTTATATATGGTGTTATTCAAAATAGAAACTTGGTTAACTTCATGAGGAAATCTCTCTTTGTAGAGAAAATAAGAAAGAAAATAACATTCACTGTAGCCCCAAAGGTGCCAAATACTGTACTGGGTACTCGAAGTATAATATTTACTATAATTCTGACAACTACTATGAGATGTGCCTATTATTATTATTTCCACATTATATATGAAGGAACTAGGCTCAAAGGTCTTAGATAACTTGCTCAGAGACAAACTTCTAGCTAATGAATAGTGAAACAAGGATTTCAAACTTGATTTGAATCCATACTTTTAGTCCCCCAAACAACATAATGCATCTATGGGATAATCTATCTGAAATAAAAACATTAGGGTTGGAATATGTGTTTTGAATCCAGTATGTTTGGATGCAAATTGAAATGTGCTCAGGTCAAATTCTAAAAATGTGCTGAATCATGTATACTGATGTTTCACTACCTGTGCAATTGTGTCCTGGGTTAAAACCACAAAATTCACCCAGAACCGTGGAATATTTTAAAGTTTTAAGGGAAACACAATGATACTTAACATCTGTCAGATACTGCAAACTAGTAGGTTGAAGTAGTTCAGTTTTAACAGTAGTTTATACTACATTCCTTTCAATGGCATATCTTTGCAAAGTTTTGTTTTCAGTGATTACTACAATGATAAGCAAGTAAGCAGTAAAAAAACACAATGTAGAACTGATAAAATGGGGGTCCCGGCTATGTCTAGTCTGGATCTAGTATCTGAGAAGTTGTGCAGTATTCACTAGATACATACATATCATTAGTAAGTAATTGTGCTTATCTAAAAATTAAATGTCATATTATTTTTGTAACTTATGTGTATTATTTTCCCTAAACATCTAAGACATTGCTAGGACACAAGCATTTATAAAGTTTAGACTTTATTGCTTAATAAATGAAACTCTAAAGTATTCCTTTCAGTCTTATAACATTGTGAAAACATGACTAAGGCCCAATGAAACGAAAAGCTTGGGAATCTCTGGAAACACTGAGCTTCCTTTTCCTCGGCAATAAAGTTACTGAAACTTGTACATGTAAGTTAATCATGTGAGCAAACTAGAAATAAATGAAGATTTGTCTAATTACGCTTCAATCTGTTGTACTTTAGAATTCGGATCAAGGCAATCTTAGAGAAGATTGAATTTCAAAGAAATATTTATTTCAAAACATTTCTCAACACAAGTATGTGATCAACCATTTTAAGGCTGTGAACTTTCCTTCTGAGCTGGGCACTGCCCCCAGGGCTGCAGATTGTTAAAGGAAAGAGAAGAATGAACTCTACATTTCAGTTCTCTATTTTGCTTATTATGGAATCCTCACAATTAGTCATACTGTTCTCAGAATGAATACAATTCAAAGAAACCCTGTTTCATATCATTGTATTGTGAGGATTAAAAACAATGTGAACCAAAGTCTATGCCAGTCCCAAAATATAAGTCTAACAAACATTAACAAACATTGCCAAACACTAATGTTTATTACTCCCTTTGGAGCCCATCTCCCACTGCAGAAAGGATCAATAATTAATACTCATACTCTTATGCAAAGAATTGCAAACTTGGCCTTCTATTTCATTTTACCCTAAATATACACTGTAGATGAGCAAACTAGAATCTCAGATTACTTCCTCAGTGCTTTATTCACTATCTATCCAGTCAGGGTTCATAGTGATCCCCTTTGGGTTCTGTACATTTAAGCAAGTTTCTTGTCCTCTCCATGCCTCAATTTCCTCATCTGAATATGGGAAAAATAATAGAATCTCCCTGAAATAGTGACTGTAAAGAGTAAATGAGCTAAGATAAATATTTAGGCCAGTATTTGGTGCAGAGTCAATACTGTTTAAGTGTTCAACGAACAGAATTGCATGATACTCTCTGAACAAATCCCACATTTTTGGATGCCTGTGATTTTTCTTATGTTTCTCCTATACTTAAATTTCCTTTCTAAGCTTATCTTTAGCCAAAATCTTTACAAATTCTATCAGCCTATTGAAATCTTCTCTATAAATTTTTCCTTTTGCCTCTTATGGAAATTTATTTCTATCTTCCATTTTTCTGGTCATTTTCCACCTGATATGGCTATCTGCTCATTTTCTTCCCAGCCCTAATCACAGTTTATAAGCAAATATGTCTTTGGTGGCTAAACTATTTAGAGTCTATTATTAAAATTCTAGAAATCCATGTGTGTATTTGGTCACCCCCCACACATAGATTAGAATGTCTAGCATATCATTGATTCAAAATAACAATTACATAATTAACAAATGAATGAATGAACATGTATCTACTCTCAAAGAAAGGTTTCCTTTCCATCTAACATATACTACAGATTCTTTCACTAGTGGATTTTCCCCCAGTGTGTTCCAGTATTCTGTATCTTTAATAATGTCCATTTTGTTTACAAAATTATATGAAGATAATGTTAGATTAAAATATGGTTTCAAATTGTTAAATTATATAAAAATAGATAATAGTGAAACAAGACATAATGCTTATTTAATTTTATGATTGAATAAATAGTGAATTAAAATCACTAAATCTAGCTCACATTGACAGCTTATGTTGACATATTTATATATAACATTATCAGACATCTTTGAAGAATCTTTAAGAACATGTGAATTGCTGTAGAATCTCAGCTTAAAAATATTGTGCTTCTTTTGACTATAGTCCCTATATGTTTTTTTCCATGATACAATTGTGCTAGCATATTACTGGATATTTTTTTCAAGTTTTCAGAGGAAACTTAATCGGTTGGCCAGGAAATACAAACAATAAGTTGGGTGTAAATATATTACACTAGATAATAAGAAAACTAAAAACAAAAAAATTATATAATATATTGTTTAGGGATACTTGAGTATGTAATGAAATTGTAGCAGTTCCTCAAATAACATTGTTTCGTTCAATGTCGATTACCTTTAAACTTGATGAGAAAAAAATTCCACTCCTGGCAGGGCCACCATGAGGAGTTTGCAAATTTTTCCACGTCTGCGTAGGTTTTCTTGTGTACACCAGTTTTTTCCCACATCCTAAAGATGTACACGGTTAGGTGACTTGGCATGTCCAAATTGTCCCAATATAAATGAGTAGGGGTATGTCTGTGTACCTGTGCACCCTGCAATGGATTGGCGTCCCCATCCAGGGTTGGTTTCCATCCTATGCCCTGAGCTTATGGGATAGGCTCTGGCCATCCTTGACCCTGAACTAAAATAAGCTGGTTGGGAAATGAATGAATAAATTAATACAAGTTATTGTAAAATAAAAATCTGCAAGATATACAATAAAAATACAAATGCATGACAATAAATGATGTGGTACAAAAGTGCTCAGCGAGCCTCCGATATTCATTATTGTATCTGTTTGAACTACACGGTTGTAGGAGGTACTCCTTAAAATTATTCTTTGCAAACATTTATTTCTTCATTTAACCCACCATCACTATGACCATGATCACTCACTTATCCACCAAAAATTGGATAAATGATTATCTTACTTCTTATTAATCTTTCTTAAATGTATGTAGAGCTCACATTCATTTATTTCAATGTTTAATATTAGACGTGTTTGGGGTCTTTATTAAGAAGTTTGGTGATGTCTTTGTGACCAGAAATATGTCATGGAACTTGACTTGTTTAGGTAAATTAGCCCAGATAAAATTGGTTTCATTATACATCATTTTGTTTAAAGTTGTAGTTTCAAAGAACCTACCCCAACAAAGTTAAGTGAGGACTTATGTATCGGAAACATTCAAGGGAGGATAAACAGAAAATTCAGTACAGAGATTGCTCTGGGGGAGTGGCAGAGCAATGGGATGTGAGGGACACAGGACAAGAATAAAGTTATTGGTAACACTGAGTTCTTAGTTGTGTGATGGGTTCAGAGATGGCTTAATATTTTCTATTTTTAATACACACAGAAAAAGAGTATTATTACTCACAATGTTAAATATTTAATAGATAAATTGAAAACAATTGAGTAACACTGAAAAAGTGAAGAAAAGAAAGATGATGAGAAAGAAAAATAAGAGAAGAATTGAATTAAAGCCACACAAAGCAAAAAAAAATAGGAATTTTCCAAACTCTATAGAATAAAATTGGCATCTGAACAAGCCAGAAACCCAGGATTGCTTACATTTTATTCATGTGTGTGATTACTCTCTATTATGGGAAGTGATTATGGGTTTTCCATTCATTAGTGTAAAATACAATTTTCTTTTAAAATAAATGTACTTACTTAAACATTTTAAACCCCAGGTATTTTTTAAAACTGCTAGTAGTTTGAACCTTAAAAATTTTTTTAAGTGACGAACCATTATATCAACAAATATTTTCAGCAGCCAGACTCTTACAGACTCTTGACAGTAAGACTATACATATATTATATATACATATATATGTGTATGTGTGCATGTATATGTGTGTGTGTGTATATATATATATACACATATACGTATATGTATATATATACACATATACGTATATGTATATATATATACATATACGTATATGTATATATATATATACATATACGTATATGTGTATATATATATATAAATACATATACGTATATGTGTGTGTATATATATATATATATATATATATATAATATTTGTGATGGAGTCTCTCTCTGTCGCCCAGGCTGGAGAGCAGTGGCCCAATCTCGGCTAGCTGCAACGTTGCCTTCCAGGCTCAAGCGATTCTCATGCCTCAGCCGCCTGAGTAGCTGGTAATACAGGCGTGCGCCACCACGCCAGGCTAATTTTTGTATTTTTGTATTTTTAGTAGAGATGGAGTCTCACCATGTTGGCCAGGCTGATGACTCCTGACCTCAAGTGATCCGCCCGCCTCGGCCTTTCAAAGTGCTGGGATTACAGGCGTGAGCCCCCGTGCCCGGCCAGTAAGACTATTTGTAATACTAGGCAAATCGGTTTTCTTTAAAAAGAAGCCAGTGGAATTCTGTGGCATTTCAGAAATGGATACTTTTCTCTTAATATTTGCCCTTATTCCGAATTCACAGATTTCCCTCTAATATGTAGTTGGACCATGGTGTCCCAGAACAGAAGCCACAGTTCTCAGCCTACCTTGTAGCAATATGGAAGTAGACCTATGAGTCCTGGCAATGGAGTGTAAACAGAAAAAAAGTATAAAATTTCTAGAACATGCCCTTTCAACTGGCAGGAATGAGGGTACAATGTTAGAACTGAAGCATTCATTTCCTGCCATGTGTTCATATTGGGAACCCTGGTCTTTATAGAGGGAAAAGAGAAAAGTAATGTGGTTTTCCGACACTGTGTAGCATCATAACATCCTTCAACTAACTTATTCCATACTCTTGATAAAAATATTGTCATGAAGTCTTTGCCCATGTCTATGTTCTGAATGGTATTGCCTAGGTTTTCTTCTAGGGTTTTTACGGTTTTAGGTCTTACATTTAAGTCTTTAATCCATCTTGAGTTAATTTTTGTATAAGGTATAAGGAAGGGGTCCAGTTTCAGTTTTCTGCATATGGCTAGCCAGTTTTTCCAACACCATTTATCATTCTCAGCACACTAACACAAAAACAGAAAACCAAACACTGCATGTTCTCATTCATAAGTGGGAGCTAAACAATGAGAACACGTGGACACAGGGAGGGGAACATCACACACTGGAGCCTGTTGGGGGATAGCATTAGGAGAAATACCTAATGTAAATGACAGGTTGATGGGTGCAGCAAACCACCATGGCATGTGTATACCTATGTAACAAACCTGCATGTTCTGCATATGTATCTCAGAACTTAAAGTATAATAATAGAAAAATTTAAATTTTAAAAAAATAGACTTATCATTCTTATTAAAACCATTGTTGTATGGGTGTTTTGTTAGTTGTAGTCAAACCTAATCCAATTAATACACATGCACAAGAAATCAGATTGCTTTATCCACTTTTTTCCTCTTTCTTTTTTTGGACAACTTTGTAAATCTAAGAGCAAAAGTGATAAATAGTCCCTTAAATTCCTACCCATGATGCACTTATTATTTCACTTCTAAAAATATAATTCTTTTAGATTTTGTTTAAATTTGGAAATATATTATCAATTATTTGAATTAAAATGAGATAATTATATTACACCAAATATAGATTAGAACTATTTTGGCCTACTTCAGTTTCATCTAGCAATTTTAAGAGAATGTTGACTCCTAGTGTTCTAAGCTGAACCGACCATATTATTTTGTCGTTTATGTAATTTCAACTTTTATTTTAGATTCAGGGTATATATTTGCAGGTTTGTTCCCCGGGCATATTGAGTGCTGCTAAGGTTTGGGATATGATAGCTGTCATCACCCAGGTAATGAGCGTAGTACCTAACCGTTATAGTTTTTCAACTCTTGCCTTGCTTCCTTCCTACCACCTCTGATAGTCCCCAGTGTCTGTTGCTGCCATTTTTATGTCCACGAGTATCCAATGTTTAGCTCCCACTTATAATAAGTGAGAACACGAGGTATTTGGTTTTCTCTTCCTGCACTAATTTGCTTAGAATAATGGCTTCCAGCTGCCTCCATGTTGCTGCAAAGGATATGATTTCATTCTTTTTTATGGCTGTGTGGTATCCCACGGTATATATGTACCACATTTTCTTTATTCAGTTTGCCACTGATGGGCGCCTAGGTTGATTCTACATCTTTACTATTGTGAATAGTACTGTGATGAATATTTTAGTACATGTGTCTTTTTGGTAGAAGAATTTATTTTCCATTGGGTATATGCCCAGTAATGTGATTGCTGGGTGAAATGATAGTTCTGCTGCAGATTCTTGGAATAATCTCCAAAGTTTTCCACAGTGGCTGCACTAATTAACATTCCCACCAACAGTGTATCATGTTCCCTTTTCTCTGCAGCCTCACGAGCATCTGTTATTTTTTGACTTTTTAGTAATAGCCATTCTGACTTGTATTAGACTGTATCTCACTGTGGTTTTGACTTGCATTTCTCCAATGATTAGTGATGTTGAACGTTTTTTCACATGCTTCTTGGCCATTTGTCTGTCTTTTGAGAAGTATCTGTTCATGTCTTTTGCCTAATTTTTAATGCAGTTATTTGCTTTTTGCTTCTTGAATTAAGTTCCTTTTAGATTCTCTATAGTAGACCTTTGTCACATGCCTAGTTTGCAAATATTTTCTCCCATTATATAGGTTGTCTCTTTCCTCTGTTGATTGTTTTGTTGTGCAGAGGCTATTGAGTTTATGAGGTCCCACTTGCCAAGTTTTTTGTTTTTGTTGCAATTGCTTTTGAGGGCTTAATCATAAATTCTTTCCCAAGACTGATGTCCAGAATAGTATTTCATAGCTTTTCTTCTAGGATTCTTATAATTTGAGATCTTACATTTAAGTATTTAATCCATCTTCAGTTGAATTTTGTATATAGTGAGAGATAGTGGTTCAGTTTAATTCTTCTGCATATGGCTAGCCAGCTATCCTAACATCATTTATTCAATAGGAAGTCCTTTCTCCATTGCTTGTTTTTGTCAAGTTTGTTAAAGATCAGATGACTGTAGCTGTGTGGCTTTATTTCTGGGTTCTCTATTCTGTTCCATTTGTCTATGTGTCTTTGTTTTTGTACCAGTACCATGCTGTTTTGATTATGTGTTATAGCATAGTTTGAAGTCAGATAATGTGATGCCCCCATCTTTGTTCCTTTTGTTAGGAAAGCTCTAGCTGTTCAGGCTCTTTTTTGGTTCCATATGAATTTAGAATAGTTTTTCTATTTCTGTGAAAGATAACATTGCTGGGCTTGATAGGAATAGCACTGAGTCTGTAGATTGCTTTGAGCAGTATGGCCATTTTAATGATATTAATTCTTTCAACCCATGAGCATGGAATGCTTTTCCATTTGTTTGTGTCATCTATGATCTCTTTAAACTGTGATTTGTAGTTCTCCTTATAGAGATCTTTCATCTCCTTGGTTAGAGGTACTCCTAGGTATTTTATTTTTTCTGTAGCTATTGTAAATGGGATTGCATTCTTGATTTGGCTCTCAGCTTGAATGTTATTGGTGTATAGAAATGCTACTGATAGTTTTACACTAATTTTGTATCCTGAAACTTTACTGAACTTGTTTATAGTTCCAGGAGCCTTTTGGTGGAGTCTTTAGGGTTTTCTAGGTATCGAATCATATTGTCAGTGAAGAGAGATAGTTTGCCTTCTTCTTTCCTATTGGATGCTTTATATTTCTTCCTCTTGCCTGATTGCTCTGGTGAGGACTTCTAATACTATGTTGAATAGAAGTGGTGAGAGAAGGCATCCTGTCTTATTCCAGTTCTTGAGGGGAATACTTCCAGCTTTTGCCCATTAACTCTGATGTTGTCAATCATATTTTTCTCCCAGGAACTATAAAGTTGAGCAGAGTCACACAACCTTCGTGTGATAGTTAATTTTATGTGTCAACTTGACTGGGTCACATGATGCCCAAAATATTTTTTAAACATCATTTTTAGGTATGTCTGGATGAAATTAACATTTAAATGGGTAGACAGTAAAGCAGATCGCCCTCCCCAATGTAGTGGGCCTCATCCCATGTTTTGAAGACCTAAATAGAATAGAATAAAAGGCTGAGTAAGAAATAATCTCCTGCTGCCTGACTGTCATCAAACTGAGACATTGGTCTCCTCTTGCCTTGAGACTCAGACTTCATTTGGAACAGTACCATTGACTCTCATGAGTCTGGACTTCTCAGTCTCTGTAATAACGTGAGACAACTCCTTAGAATAAATCTCTCTCTCTCTCTCCCTTTCTCTCTTTCTCTATCTCTGTCTCTCTCTCTCTCTCTGCACACACACACACACACACACACACACACACACACACACGCTGAGTTATGCCAATGCAGCACTTTAGCAAAGGCTCCCAAGTTCCTGCTGCAACAGTCCCTGGGGATGCCTGGGCTCCTGTTGGTGGCAAACTGTGTGTGTGTGTGTGTGTGTGTGTGTGTGTGGTGTGTTTCATATATATATATTATACTTTAAGTTCTAGGGTACATGTGCACAACGTGCAGGTTTGTTACATATGTATACATGTGCCATGTTGGTGTGCTGCACCCATTAACTCATCATTTACATTAGGTATATCTCCTAATGCTATCCCTCCCCACTCTCCCCACCCCACAACAGGTCCTGGTGTGTGATGTTCCCTTTTTTTGCTTGCCTCCCCAGCATCAGTTTTCCCCTTCTTAGCAGTATCTCAGTGTTCCATTCATGTGGTTTGGATGATATTATCTGACCACTAGTTCAAGATTTGTCTTAATTTGCTAAAGTCAACAGCATAATCCACCCCCATGCCACAGTTTCTGAGTCTGGGGTGAGGACATAACCTGTACCTCAGCCTACAGTGTACTAGAGCTAGCTCATACCAGCTCATGAGAGCCAATTGCTAAATTTCTTGAAAATTTGCAAGTCAGTTACTAAACACAGCCATTATTTTAAAAATTATATGAACTTATAACTAAAATATATTAAAGCAAAAATATATTAATTCATACCTTTAAAATATTTTACTAAATTTTATAGTACTTATGATCTTGAAATTTATATTTACTTTAACAGTGAAAACAGAAGAAAATACTGTATAAAGGTATGCTACTGCACATCTTTTCCTAACTCTGGAGTCAGAGACATTGTATTGGTATGCAAACAAAATATATCTTTCTGTTATTTAAATATTATTGTCCAAATGAGCAAATAATTCCCTCACATTACCAATGAAAGAATCAATGGGATTTCCCAACAATTAGGATATTTTCAAATCATAGTTTAATTACAACCACCTTTGAGAGGCCAAGGTGGGCAGATCACCTGAGGCCAGGATTTTGAGAACAGCCTGCCAACATGGTGAAACCCTGTCTCTACTAAAAAATATAAAAAATTAGCTGGGTGTGGTGGTGTGTGCCTGTAGTCTCAGTTATTCAGGAGGCTGAGGCAGGAGAATCTCTTGAATGTGGGAGGCGGAGATTGCAGCAAGCTGAGATCACACCATGGCACTCCAGCCTGGGCAACAGAGCAAGACTCCATCTCAAAAAAGAAAAAAACAAAGAGTTTAGCAAATGTATTCTGTGGGAATTAATTGGTCATATGGAATTTACAGTGAAAGTATAGTATATTCTATTATTTTGTAAATTGAGAGCTAAATATATTTTACATCAATAAAAATTTTTGTACTTTTGGAAGACTTTGTTTTTATAATTTGTTTTAATTGACAAATATTGTATATATTTATGGTATATAACATGATGTTTTGCAGTATGTGTACATTTTAGAATGACTAAATCAAGTTTAATTAACATATATATTACTTCACATACTTACCATTTATTTGTGGTGAAAAAACTTAAAATCTACTCTTTTAGCAATGTTAAAATATAAAATACATTACTATTGATTATATACATCAGTAAAATTTATAGTAAACTTGTGTATATATACATGTTTACTTTTTTGAGATATTATTTTAAACACTTACCAGCATACTAATGCCTATGTCAGCTAGTTAGTATTTGACATTCTATGAATGAACAAGTGCTAAATTAGTTCAGTTACAGTAAATCTCAGGACTTTTATTCAATGATTAAGGCAGAAATTTCTCTTTCTCTCTCTCTCTGACTCTCTGAATAAGGAAGAATGTAGCTTTAGGAGCTTATGAATGTTATCTTATGACACAACAAAAGAAGTCAACTTTAGAATGAGACATGATACACGAAGGAGATATAGAAGGAAGCAAATTTCTAGGGGAAAGTTTTGAAGTGCTGGATAAAACCAATGCTAATGTGCTCCTATAGCAGCCACATTAACCAATAAATTTTCTCATTGTCTAAGTTGTATTTTCTGCTCTTCCTGAGACCTGGTTGTCCAGCTATTTGATTGTAAACTATACCATTTTCCTTCCAAAAAACACTCTATTTTTTAAATCATGTGAATCAAAGTTTCTGAATTAGTCCTTTAGAAGAGTTGGCGAGATAGAGATTGGGAGAAAAACAATTCTGGCATAGCATTCTTATCGAAGTTACAATTCATCATAAAAAATACAGAAGATGTATTATCAAGAGGGAATACTAGGAGATACAAAGGTAGAAGATTTGGGATGAGTGGTACTTTTCAAGACTCTCCAGTTTGTCAAGGATAATATTCTCAGGATAGTGGAGAAGATATTCTACTTAGGCCTCAGATTCTGAAAGGTCACAGGAAGCCATAAGAAGCGACTCACAGGCTTCTAACACCATCAATTTATGGCCCTGAAATTACATAAAAATGACCTATTATGATGCTAAAATTATTTAGCAAGCCACTTCACCTGGATCTAATGCCTAAGCTCTATGTATAATTTTGCATTATGCCTCCAATGCCATGTTGCTATATTGTCAACAGGTTGTAAAGGAATGAAAATACATATTATTGGGTCCACATTATATGCAACATAACCATGTAATGATGGTCAATCTGTAGGAACTTAGGATCAGAAGGCACTACCACAGTGTGTCTATCGTTTGCAACCATAACACCTAAACACGTACAGAAGTAGATACTAGGAGCAGGGCAAGGGCCACAGATCCTCAGAGAAAGTTAACTTCCTTGAATTTTTCTTAGGTTGGTGTGAAGCAAAAAGCATTGAGATACTCTCTCATTTTTCCAGGATGAGAAAATACCAGCCCATGGTACAATGCAGCAAATTAGCCAATCAATTTATTAACTGTGGTTACAAGAGAAAAAACAATGGATGAAAAATTTCTCAGCCACAGTAGTATCTTTGCTACATCCAATGGCATCAAGTAATTTAAAGTGAAAGCATGCTAAAAGCAAGTCTTAAAAATCTTACCTCAAGGCTCAGATTGATACTTGGGTACTGCATGTTAACCATACTAGAAACAACCAAACAAATCTCCTATCGCTTTTAGCCATAGAGCTAAAGCTGCTAAAAGTCAAATGCCGATATTGATTCCATCAGTGGCTTAACTACAATATCAATTAAATTCACAACTCACTAATTATTTTATATGAAAGATATGATACCAATAGGAAATTAGGAAAATTCTGGTAATTGAAATAAAGATATCTAGGAGCATTCATATGATTTAGAGAATCCCAACCCTTCAAACTGCTCTGAAATGTTCCCATTATGCCTTTCTTGCTGTACAAATCTAATAATTTGCCCAATCCTGCCACTTATATCCCCAAAATTTCCCCAATTGGTGAAATGCAAAATTAGAGTAGAGAGTAAGTGCTACGCTCTGAAGAAGTTTCATGGATTTAAATTTTCTTATCTCTAAAACTGAAAATTTTAGATGGGTATTTTAAGAGTACCCAGTCATAAAGAGCAGAGTATGATTTGAGATCAGGCTTAATTCTTTACTACAGGTGAATACACGGAGATTTGGAATTCAACAGCTTTTAGACAGCTAACCATGATGAGTGTAGCAATTTGTTGGGTTAGTTGAAGCAAAACTAGATCAAAAGGTGACCCAAGACATATAATATTAAAAAATCAGAAAGTCATTAATCTGATATAAAAGAAAGAATTTGAAAACTATAGGAGAAAATAATACTAGACTGGATTTATTCCATACTTTTCATCCATCCATTTCCTCCCGATTTTTATTACCAGGGTTCAGACAATTCTTCACTCTACTTTTCAGTTAGGAGCAGACATGACGTAAGTCCTAGTTTCTTTGAAAGATGCATCTCTAGGCTGATGATTCAGATGAGTAAGCCTAGGCTAAAAATGTGATCCATCTTTTTGCTAGGGATGGAGTAAATTCAGTGTGGCTAAGATTGTATTGACTATTAGCCTCCAGAAACATTACACAGATCTTATGACCTCCATCTTCCAGATGACTCTGTTCAAATTCAAATCCCAGTGACAGCAAATCTGATTATTCATACATGGCTCTGGTGTGTACCCTAGAATTAATCAGCTATGGCAAGAAGCAAGAGCTATATCATAGTCACTGAGGCATCACTTTGAACATAAAGGGTCACCCGACTTTGTCTATTATATTATTTTTCCTTCCATTCTAGAAGAGCCAATTTCATATTATTTTTTACTTGGCTTCTCAACACATGTACACTTACATACACGTATTTGTGCACAAACACACACATACACATACACACAACGCACTGAAGACAGACTGGAACAATTTTCACAGTTACTATATATACTCTCAGTGTGATTATGATGGCATTTCCTTAATTAACTTATCCTACTTAAAAAATGCCACTACTTAATAAGATCTAATTATCCCTTGGCTCATACTCTTCCTCTCCATAAGCACACACAATTTCTAGTTTATATCCCCCAACTAACCATAATTATTTGCCCTTTGGAAATATTCAAATAATATCCACTTCACCTTCCCAATATAATAGCTCATATTAAAAAAATAAAGGGAGACAGTGTAGCGATTTGCTATTTGCCAATGATATTCATTCACAGTGTTGTGCTGGCAAATTTAATAACAGCGTTCTGGGAACGGAAGGTCATGATTTGTAGCATTTGCTGATTTCTATAAGCACTTCAATATGTCCAAGTTCAAACTACCAACGTAAAGTCACTAAACCATGGAGTTGGAAAAAGATGCCCACAATCGGCTCCATGAGTAGATATAAGCTGGCTCCTGCACACCTATGTAGTTGTATTAATCAGGAACTCTAGAAACTGGAGTTCCATGTCCTGTTGATTCTGTCCTTAGGCTTACTTAGTTCACTTTCATGTCACTCCTGCCTACAAAAATCTCTCCTTCTTACTGGTAGAATTCAGTGATCTTCTGTGATACCAGGAATTAGTGCAAGTATAGAGTCAGGATTCAATAGTCTTCCCAAAGTTTTTATATTTGTTTCCCTAGATATGTAATAAATTAACTTATTGAAGACAGACTGGAACAAGTTTCACAGTACTACACATACTTTTACTGTTATTATAACTGCATTTTCTTAAGCTTCCTTTTTCAAAAAGGAGAGCTGCTCAGTTCAGAAAATTGGTAAAAAAACAGGAGTCTCTGGCTGTGTCTCAGGCCTCTTAGTCATATCAAAAATTTGTTAGCAGTTTTTCTGCAAATCAAGTAGGAGCTTAATAACAGTCCATTTTATTCCTTTTGAACACATAATTATTGATCGAAACAGACCATGTTCTACCGTGTTCATATTGCACTGACCCTACTCACCTGCCATTAAGTAACCTTATGCTTATTTTGCCTCCACGTACCATCAATATAATGTAAGCTCTAAAAAGACAGAGATGTTGTATGTTTTCTTCCAAGAAGTTTCTGGCATCAAAAGGAAGGAGAGAAGAGAGAAAGGGAAAAAAGAAAGAGACAATGCTGAATAATTGATCAACTATGATAGATTCATAGAATCTTGGAGCTTGAAAGTGCCTGGTGTTAACTCATCCAGCAGCCTCATTTATAGATTAGGAAATGGAAGCCTGATTAAATCAAAATACTTTTCCATGGGTAGTTCATTTGTAAACTCCAAGTCAGAATTTAGGTTATATAAAGAACATAAACACCCTGATCCTCAGGAAAATATTTCAGTGATACTTAACACGGAGGTAATGAGAAAATCTGAAACAGGCCTGTTGAACCAGAAATACTTCTGCCCCCAAATTTTCCCCACCCACACACACCTTTTTGGGCCTTCTATACACACACATCTAGAAGAATGATTAAAGAAGAGGTGGTGGGAAGAACTTTTAAAAATATGCTAGAAAATAAAATTATTTAGCTCTCTCTGTATAGGAAAAAAAATTCTGGGTTTATTTTGTTTTCAATTCAGCAAACATCCATTAACAACCTATGTGCGATTCTCTGAGCCTAAAGCTGTGATATATATAAAGTGTGGTAAGATGTTGGTCCTGCCCTCCAGGAACTCATAATCTAGTTAGGAAGATAGATGAGTACATAAGTAACGATCATAAAAAGGCACTCTGCTTTTAGGAAAAGGTGTGAAATTGAGACAGAGAGTGGGAAATTGCCATGAGGGGTACAAAGATAAGACAAGATGGAGCAGGAGATAATCGATTTTTTTTCTTATGCATCATAGTTGTGTAAAAAAAAATCCCTTCTAATTAGAGTAGATAAAACACACCAAAACTCTTGAATTCTTGCTTTCTCCTTTATGAATCCCGGCCTTCTGAGTGAATCCTACCATGATGAAGTTAACAATGGAGTTTCTTTTACCAAAGACAGATGACCTCCCTCCACATGACCGCTAGTACATTCTATGAGGAAAGAGCATTCCAAACTGTCTGGGTTCTTTTGATAATTCACTGTCTGGAAGGTCAGAAACTATTCATAGAAGTAAGTAGATTCTACATGTTTGTCTGAAAGACAAAGTTCATTCTTTTCTTTCATTTCTCCTAAGTAATCTGACTTTTTATACCTCATAAATGGAAAATAAAAGAATCATCTGATTATACTCAGCAAGATTGTTTCTTTGAAACACTAAACCTCTACTAAAATTTCACTAATATATTAAAACATTGGATTTTGTTTGAATATTTTGATCTCTGGATATATAAATCTTTCCTTATCAAAAGGCTAAATTAAAGAAAAACAGAAAGTAAACAACTTTGATTGAATATCAGAAAAGATCCAATTCTCTCATCTCATCTGATCATGAAATAAATCATTATAGGTTATAACAACCAATTAAGCTTTCTTGGAATTTTAGGAAGCTTCTGTTCTAGGCCATAGTTCTGTAATGATACCCAGTAAATGAAGCTTTTGCTTTCCATAGTTAAAAGCTGCTTTTTTCCTAGAGAAGAAAATCGTGCCAATCAAATTTGAATTTTTCTAGAACAAGTAGATGATTTAGGAAAAGGCCAGTGCATATCATTTGTAGCACTTTAAGAAATTATGTTATTTCAGTAATTCTTTCAATATAACCTTAGAGGCACAGGCACCTGAAGATTCTAAACAACAACAAAAACCTGAATAAAAATAGTGACTGAATATGCCAAGTGAAGGATGGGTGAGTTATGGCTGACAAAGTTGACACCGTAGAATGAGTTAGATAAGTTGCATAATAATTCACTCAACGGTTCTGTGATCCAGGTAACCTAATTTATCATTCATAGAATGACGATGAAGAGAGAGAGAGAGAATTATTAACCAAGCACATACCTTGCAAGGGACTGGGTAACCTAAAAGTCTCTGATTTTAATATAATCTAGTAAAAAAGATATGTCAAAAAGATATTAACAAAGAAGCAGCTTTGTGGGCTGATGTGTTCAGACAAAACTTTAGCAGAAGACAAAAGATTGAGCTAATCTTTTGCTAGTGAAGCAAACGGAAAAGATGATAATATTACAGGTTGGAGAAAAATCTATCACACTGATATGGTTTGGGTCTGTGTCCCCACCCAAATCTCATGTTGAACTGTAATCCCCAATGCTGGAAGTGGCGCCTGGTGGGAGGTGATTGGCTCATGGGGTGATTTCTAATGGTTTAGCACCATTCCCCTAGTGCTGCTCTCATGATACAGTTTTCAGGAGATCTGTTGTTTTTTTTTCTTAAGTGTGCAGCACCTCCCCCAACCCTTCTTCCTGCTTTGGCCATATAAGATGTGCCGCTCCCCCTTCACCTTCCCTCATGATTGTAAGTTTCATGAGACCTCACCAGTCATGCCTCCTGTACAGTCCACAGAACCGTAAGCCAATTAAACCTCTTTTCTTTATAAATTACCCAGTCTCAGGTATTTTTTAACAGCAGTGTAAGAACGGACTAATACAAACATGTACATGAATTTAGAGTCAGATTCAAGTGTCTGTGCTAATGCCTACAAGATAGAGGAACCTAGTTATTTAACTGCAATGTAAAATAACAAAAGCTAATAAATGCTAAGTGCTAATTACCTGCCAATGATTGTTTAAAATATTTTTACATGCATGAATTCATATTATCTTCACAAAACCTGTGAAAATATTGGTCTAATTATCTCTTTTACAGATCCTGGAATTAAGACATAGAGATGTTAAGAAATTTGCCCAAATTCAAATACAGCTAGTAAGTGATACAGCAATGATTCAAACAAAGGTACTCAATAATGTAAGCTATTATTTATGCTTAAAATACATTAGAATAATAAACTAAACAGCTTTATAAAACACTGGATGAAAGAACTTTCCAAATAGCACAAACTTTGCAAACTCATCACATTCTTTTCTCTTTTTTTTTTTTTTGAGACGGAGTCTTGTTCTGTCACCCAGTCTGGAATGCAGTGGCATGATCTCGGCTCACTGTAACCTCCACCTCCCAGGTTCAACCGATTGTCCTGACTCAGCCTCCCAAGTAGCTGGGAGTACAGGTATGCACCACCATGCCCAGCTAATTTTTGTATTTTTAATAGAGACGGGGTTTCACTATGTTGGTCAGCCTGGTCTTGAACTCCTGACCTCAAGTGATCCACTCAGCTCAGCCTCCCAAAGTGTTGGGATTACAGGCATGAGCCACTGCACCTGGCCTCATCACATTTTTATTACAGGTTTTTCCCATTTTATTGACTCAGATTAGTGTAATATGTATCTCTTATATAATGACAATTCAAAGGCAGAACAGGTTACACAGAAATGGAAAGCAGCCTAAAATATTTGTTAACCAGTAGTTATTGCTCTACTCAATGTTACTAGATACAGTAAATTAAGCTAGGGCAATATTGCACTTCTGTGTTGAAATGATAAAAAATGTGAGTAATTTCATGAATCATTTATCAAGTGCAACTGAATAAATTACTAAGAATTCAACTAAAGTATAGGCCAGCACAAGTTAGGGAAAAATTAACAAATGCTTAGGAAAGAAAGGATTTAATATCATGTATATATATTTGTGGTGTGTGTACGTGTATAAATTCACAACAATCTGTATGCACATTATGGAATGTTTGCAAATTTTGATATTTTAAATATTTATAGCATATAGTGTTTTGTGTGTTTGCATTTGAAGTGCGATATTGTTATTTTCAACAAAATGAACTAATAAAAAGTAATGCAACGAAGCAACTCAATTACATAAAAATATGTACAAAATATTTATAAAACCAATGTTTTCTTAATCACTTGTGAACAAGGGTTCCAAAGGTAGCAGTCTGCTTTTTAATTTTCAGGGTTTATTACTTACAAAGATAAAATATGTCTCTTAGCTTAGGATACTTTTTCATATTTAAGGCAAAGTGTAATTTCCTAGAAATGTCTATCATTTTACTATAGAAAATAGATTATATCTTTAATCATGGTGGTCTAAATAGGATTTCAGTATCTCCCTATAACTTTCAGGATAAAATTTAGAATCTTCATCTATAACGAGACCCCTCCAGGATCTGGTCCTGGCACTAACTTTCTCAGTGTCAGCTCCACCACTCTTCCACAGTCACTTGTTAGAGTTCCTGCTTTGATGTAATATTTATAATTCCAAGTGTCATATTCATGAACCATGGCCCTGGCACATGCTCTTCTGTCATTTTTGAAAAGTCCATCCTTCCCTTATTTATAATCTACCTAAACCATACTCATTCCCTTACCAGTGTTACCTTCCTCCAGAGACTTTCCTCATCAACCAAGTATAATTCATCCATGGTTCTCAGAGACCTATATATCATAGCACTTATACAGTGTTGTGCCATTGTAGTTGATTATTTTTCTTTGTAGAACTAAGCTATCTAAGGGCAAATATGTCTTATTTGACTTTGCCTTATAGGGCACTTGGTTGTTGCAGAATGACTTATGGCCAATTTCAATAATTCATTGTCTGGTTTAGTTCTTCATAGTCAATCTATGGGGTTCAAATTAAGGCATGTTTTCACAGTGGATGTCCATTTACTCGGTATGTGTATAAAAAGGAAAAGACAAATTGTACCACAGCAATTTCTCAATCTTTGCTCCCTCAGCATAATTCCCTTTCACCTTCTCTCATTCCCTGGTCCCAGGTTAGAAGGTGCTAATGAGTCTGAGAACACTCTCTGTGGGAACAACGTGACTTAGAGCAGATGTGATGTCAATTGCGTATGCTTGGTGCAGGACTCACCTTTCTAATCCAAAGAGAAAATACACGGCTGATGTTTAAACAAAGCAAGGATTAGGGCTGCCTACCCCTGTGCAGCTGAAAATCCATGTATAACTTTTGACTCCCTGTAAACTTAACTGCTAATAGCCTACCATTGACTCAAAGCCTTATTGATGATATAAAGTCATTTAAAACATATTATGTACATTATATGTATTACCTACTGTATTCCTACAATAAAGTAAGCTAGAGAAAAGAAAATGTTAGGAAAATCATAAAGGTCCCTGGCATGAAAGGACTGACAGACAAGCAGAGTGCACTGGTCCAGTGGGAGGAGGTGGTGTCGGGTCCTGTTGGTAGAGAATTGTACAGAATAGCTGCAACAATGGGGAGGTGCCTGTGGTGTGTAGTTGCAGGAGCCTGTGAGAATGGAGGGGCTTCTGCCAGGTGGACCTCAGGCATCCAGCAGGGCAGCACAGGTGCGTGGGCTGGGTTGGTTTCTGGTGCCCTTGAACCTGCTGGTTTCCTGGAGTCAACTGCAGCCATGGTCTTTAGAGGAGTGCTCCCATGTATCCTGCAGTACACTGTGGGGAGCACTCAAAATGCCAATGGCTTCTCTACCTGCTTGTGTCTAGTGAAACTAGTGGCCAATATTTTACGGATACTCTTCTGGTTCAGAAGTCATTTTGACTCACCTCTCCTGTGGCAGAGCATAATCATGATCTTGACCATGTTGCTAATGTTGAAACTCTGCACTGAAGTCTGTGTGGCAAATAAGCTGAACAAAACTCGCTTCTTTGCAGACTTCTGGCCCCACCACTTACAGCACTGGAGCCAGAAGTTTAGGGGACTATAGGCAGTGCATCTTGGCCTTCATAGCATGGCAGAGTACGTCAGGTACCTGTCTAAGACTTGGCCCTGCTGGGCATGTTGGGTGCCACAGTTCTGAGTCTGTTGCAGCTGTTGTTCTGACACTTTTCACCCCACCCCATATTCTGCTCCCCCTTAACAGGAGATCATACCGTGCTTAGCAGCCTTATGCTGACCCATCGGCCCCTAGGCCCTAGAGTTCTACGTGCTTTGGAGTGGCTCCCACAGATGGTGTCTTCCCTCCTGCTGGCCAGAGGAGCCGCTTTTCATGCAGATGTTGACATTCTCAGCGCTAAAGCTCTATGACTTTAGTGTTTGTTGCTTACTGTGGCTAGTGGGAAAATCTTCAAAGCTGTTTACTCCCCTGAGTTTTCCTCAGAGAAATTCTTGAGTATTTGAGTGAGGATCTTATTCAGCTCTTTGGCCTGTAAGATGCTTTGAAAATTTTTATATTTTTTAAATGAAGTGAGGTATCTGTAGTGGCCATTTCCTCTAAGGAAAAATGTCACCAATTGCAGGAATGGTGACTGGTGAATGCATGTATCCCCATGTGGTGACTTTGAATCAGTAAGAAAAGAAAAAAGAAAAGATAAAATGCTATAAGAAAGTGAAAATATATTTACTGTTGGTTAACTGGAAGTGTATCATCATAAAGATCTTCACCCTCATCATCTTCATTTTGAGTAGGTTGAGGAGGGAAAGAGGAGGGATTCATCTTGCTGTCTCAGGGGTGGCAGAGATGGAAAAAAATCCACATATAAGTAGACTCTTGCAGCACAAATTTGTGTTGTTAAAGGGTAAATTGTAGATATTTTATGAGATATCACCATAATGGAATAAACGTAATGCTAAAGGCAGACAACTTTTACAACAATCCCTCAGAACTCTTATACAGTCATGCACTGTATAAGGATGTTTCAGTGAACAACAGACCACATATATAACAGTGGTTCCAGGAGATTAAAATGGAGCTGAAAAGTTCTTATTGCCTAGTGATATCATGGACATGATAAAGTCTTAGCGCAATGCATTACTCATGTGTTTGTGGGGATGCTGGCATAAACAAACCTACTGCACTGCCAGTCAAAGAAAAGTAACACACATATAATTATGTACAGTACATAATACTCAATAATAAATTACTATGTTACTGGTTTATGCATTTATTATGCTGTATTTTTATCTTATTTTAGAATGTACTCATTTTACTTATTAAAAAAAAAGTTAACTGTAAAACAGTCTCAGGAAGGTCCTTCTATTCCAAAAGAAGGCATTGTTGTGATAGGAGATGACAGCTCCATCCATGTTATTTCTCCCAAAGACCATTCAGTGACACAGGATGTAAAGGTGGAAGACAGTGAAATTGATGATACTGACCCTAGGTAGGCCTGGGCTAATGTGTGTGTTTTAGTTTTAACATAAAAGTTTTAAAAGTAAAAAAAAAAGATAAGACAAAAATTTTACAAGTAGAAAAAAGCTTATAGAATAAGGATCAAAGAAAGAAAACACTTTTGTAGAGCTGTACAGTATGTTTCTGTTTTAATATGTTATTATGAAAGAGTCAAAAAGTTAAAAAAATAAAAATTTCTGAAGTTAAATGTTACAGTAAGCCAAGGTTAATTTATTATTGAAGAAAGAAAAATAATTTTTGCAAATTTAGTATAGCCTAAGTGTACAGTGTTTATCAAGTCTACAGTAGTATACAGCAATGCCCTAGGCCCTCATTCAGTCACCACTCACTTAATGACTCACCCAGAGCAATTTCTAGTCCTGTAAGCTCCTGGTAAGTGCCCTATATAGGTATGCCATTTTTTTTAACCCTTTATAATAGTGTTTTTGTGGGGTTTTTTTTTGTTTTTTTTTTTTTTGAGACGGAGTCTTGCTCACCCAGGCTGGAGTGCAGTGGCACGATCTCGGCTCACTGCAAGCTCTGCCTCTCAGGCTCTCGCCATTCTCTTGCCTCAACCTCCCGAGTAGCTGGGACTACAGGCGTCCGCCACCATGTCTGGCTAATTTTTTTGTATTTTTAGTAGAGACGGGGTTTTACCATGTTAGCCAAGATGGTCTTGATCTCCTGACCTCGTGATCTGCCCAACTTGGCCTCCCAAAGTGCTGGGATTACAGGGGTGAGCCACCGCGCTTGGCCTATAATGGTATTTTTATTGTACCTTTTCTATGTTTAGATATGTTTACATACATAAATACTTGCCATTGTGTTACAGTTGTGCACAGTATTCAGTAGAGTAACCTTCTGTACTGGTTTGTAGCCTAGGAGCAACAAGGTATACCATCTAGCCTGGATGTGTAGTAGGCTGTACTATAATGTTCACATAATGACAAAATAGCCTAATGGTGCATTTTTCAGAATGTATCCCTGTTGTTAAGCAATACACGACTGTACATCAAAGTATAGTTGCTTTCTCAACCAGTGTCTCAATCCAGTATTGTTACCTCAGAAATAGCAGTTGAAATGGTTACTGGTTTTTGATGTATTTCCTCCTAAGACCTGTTGGTTCAACAACCTTATCAATGACTTCAATAGACAGATGTAATAAATGAGAAATTCTTCCAGCCGGGGTCTTTTGAACTAGTATAAAATTATCTTTAGTTCCTAAACACATTTTGAGTCAAAATATGCTTGAAATTTAAATATTAATATGGTTTATTCTATCTTTTCCAAGACAGATAAAATTTCAAAAAGAGATTCCTTACAAGGACTATTATCAACTTTTCTTTCTAATCCCCAAACTCAGATAATCACAAGCAGAATATAAAATAACATTATTTTCTCTACATATATTAGACACTGTTATTTTTCTAGACAATTTCTTCAGCTGTGAGATATCTTCTGAAAAGTAATATCAATTTGGCATCTTTGTCGTTGTTTTTGATATTTAATACCACACTATCAGAAAATAATTGTTAAAACAAATCTTACTAAAAAACACCCCAGCTCCTTGTCAGTAATGTTGATATGATTAGTATTAAATAATGCCCCCCAAAACAGAGCAAGAGTAAATTGCTTAAAAGTGTGAGTGATAAACTCAATACTTATTTCTTGAATAAAACCTAACTTAACTTACCAGATAGATTATAAATGAATTGCACTATAATTCCAAATCCAATATACCTCATCTTATATATTAGCTTTTAAAAGTTTTGTGATTAAATTCAACCATACTTTTTAAAAGAAAATAAGGGAAGACTTGTTTAAATAATTTTTAATGACCACTTTTGTAAAGCAAATAACTTGTCCCTAATTTGTTTCCTTCACATACTTTTTATCCTCAGTTTTTACATTTATGATTATCCACCCTCTTCATTCACTACTAGGAGATAAGTAAACCTTCAGTCAAAATAATTTCTATTTGTCTTGTATAATTAGGTCAAGGATGGAAAAGGTCATAAAGTTTTGGGAGATGGCAAAGAAAATTTATGTTAACATGAGCATTTTTTAGCACTTCAGGACACAGGAAGGGAATATATGATATTTGGGTTGTGGATCAGGATATTTTTTTCGTTTGAATAGGTCAACATGCATCCTTGAAAGAGTTATAACTTCTGGGATTTGAATGGCTCTCAAATGCCAGGATATTTTCATCTGTTTCATACTTTATATATATTATAATACTTTTCCTTTTACATGATTTCTACAAGATAAAATTCTGTTATATTGTCAATCATTTTAAATTCCAATCAGTGTTATTTAGTCTTAGATTCTCACATGAAATTTAGACTAAAATTAATTCTTGCTTATCAAAAATTTGTTTTTCAGGAATGCCAAAGGCCATATATAATGCCTTAAGCAGTTTACTTTCAAAATAAGAGAAGGAAGCACCACACTAATTATACAAAAGCCAACAAGTCACATTGCTCAAGAGTGAATATTAATAGTGGCTACATTAGGGACATAAAGCTATGGGTGATATTTATTTTTTCCACTTTCTGATTTCTCTAATTTTTACCAACAAAAGTAGAAAAATATGTGTTTTAAGCAATAATCTCTTGCATGTAGATGGTAAAAAGCAAATGTAGAATCAGTGTATAACTTGTATAAGCAATATGATAGAGATATTTGGAAGTCGCAATAACAATACTGGCACAGATCATGATCATTATTTCTATTGTCACTATATACATGAAAACACTAGAAACCATGTGGCAGATACTTGTACTAAGAAACCATCTCATGGTAGAAAAACAACAATAATAAAAAAGGAGAATATTCAAGTGAGAAGTGTCCATTGGAAATGCATAAAGATGATAATTTTGTGGCCAAAATACCATGTCTCAACAGTCAGAGATTCATTGGATTTGTTACTGCCACTCCATTCATTTTTATTAATATGGACTATAAACAGTTAATACAACAATCATGATAATAATTAAAAATAGTGCAAATTACCAATTCCTCACACTCTGGTTTCCGTGGTTTTACATAAGTGTAAATAGCTAAAGATTTTTAAAGATGGTACTAACGATGAAAAGTATTATTTTTAAGGGAAGTCCATGAGTCTTGTTTTTTGAACAGAAAAATTCAAATTGTTGCCTTTCAACCATGAGATCAGAAGAAAATGTTAAGCAGAAAAATTATTTTAAATTATTAACTCTAGAGAGAACATAACCCACAAGGGTATAATGAATAGGTTTTCAAAAGAGAAGAGCAAGATGATAACAATTGTCCAAGACAGAAATTAAATATTTTATTTAGAAAAGAAAAAGGATAAAGTATCCCCACATTGTTTATGCATATACAATGAAATATCATGATGGAATTTATTTTGCTCAACATTTTTCAAATGAAATGGAAAATAATAGCATTAGTTAGTTTTGCAACAAATACAGATTTTCAAGGGGTCTGAGTTGTGGTTCTATTCCACAAAAATGTATGTCAAACTAGTGCTGTCAAAGCTATTTTGTCACCTTTTATGTTCAAAATTAAACTCTTCAGGCACAACTAAACCCAACTGGCACATATAGAAAATGATTGAGTCTAGCTTCAGTTGATTTCTGGATACACAGAGGGATGAAACTATGTGAGGAAACAACATATAGTGTGTTGCCAGATAGACATAATAAAGCTAATTATCACCTTCCAATAAAAATGAGTAGCACCTGGAAACTTCGTATGTTGACTCATTTATGTATGGCAACCACAATCAAATATTTCATATCTTCAGATCCCACTTAGAATTATGTAGACTTAAATACATTGTAGGTTTCATTCATGTTGTCAGAAATTTATTAGAAAATAAATGAAGTGTGATAATAGTTTTAATGTGAATTTGACAGGTATCAAAGAGAAAATATCATTAAATAAATGAATTAAACATTTAAATTGTAGGATAATTCATTTTAGAGCTCAAGGAAACTTTAGAAATCACTGGTGCTGATCTTCCTATTTTCCCACTGAGAAAACTAAGGACCACAGAGGTGAATTTACTTTGTCTACGTCACATAATATATTTAGATCATCTAGATACTGTATACCAAGGGAGTAATAATAATAAAAAAAAAACCGTATTAGTCCATTTTCACACTCCTATAAAACACTGCCAAAGACAGGGTAATTTATAAAGAAAAGAGGTTTAAGTGACTCACAATTCTGCATGGCTGGGGAGGCCTCAGAAAACTTGTGATCATGGTAGAAGGGGAGGCAGGCACAAATTACATGGTGGCATGCAAGAGAGAGTGTGAGTGTGAAGGAGGAATTGTCAAACACTTATAAAACCATCAAATCTCATGAGAACTCGCTCCTGTCACGAGAATACCGTAGGGGAAACCACCCCCATGATACAATCACTTCCCACCAGGTCCCTTCCTTGACACGTGGCGATTACAATTTGAGATGAGATTTCACTGGGGACACAGAGCCAAACCATATCACCAACCATTGAGAGGGTCCCTTCAGATATATCACATTTGTTAAAGCTTACTGTACTGAGCACTTTACATGCGTTGGCTCATTTGGTTTTCAAAGAAGCTCTACAAGTTATGCATTATTATCTCCATTTGATGGGTGAGAAAATGGAGGTTCAAGCTATAAATAATTTTCTCTATAGTAGTGGTGCAGACAAGATTTGATCTCACACGTCTGACTGAAAATTTCAGTCTTTCCACAACACCTTACTGACTGCTATAGAAGTTTACGTTCTCTTTTTTGAAATTGAAGTCACATTTATAAGCACTTACTTGCTGGCAGCAACCCCATACCACAGATAATGATTATAAAATTTAGGGTGTCCTAACAGTAAATCTTAAATGAAAGAACCTCTTTCATTAACATGACCCTAAAACAAGGAAAATTCACATGACTCCAAAACAAGACACTTCTAATCTGAGTGCAGGCTTCTTCATGTTAGATGCTTCTCCCTTTTATTAGGAGGACTGAAGAGAATTTGTTGCAGGGGGTGTATCCACTGTTTTAAAATATTAGTTCCCACCAATAGACACAACTACCAGAGAAGGCCTTGACTTGGTCCAAATTCAGATTGCTTTTATGGGGTCAGCAACCTCTCAGGAATCTACATACATTGATTTGTGTAAGAGGAAATGGAACCAGTGAGGAATATTTATGCATGGATTCTGTGGCCGTAAAAGACAGACACAGGAAAATGAAGAAGCCTTCACAGCTCAGGCCCCATGGGGTGAGTCCAAAGCCTCCTGAGGAAAAGGTGTTTCTAAACTACTTCTAATGCAGTGACACCCCACCTACAAGAAACACAGCATGATTTTTGCCCCTCATGGGTCTCCAGGTTAGGAATTGCAGGAGACAGTAACTGGACAGGGTGGCAATTGGCTATCAGAGCAACAGCAAAGCTTGAAGAGCTTCGGCAGGCTGAGATTTATCCACAGGCATATGTAAGACATCTTAGCAACATCCAGAAATACAAAGGTGACCTTTTCAGAGGACTGAAGTCTGTTGTGAAAAGGTAAAAGAAACAATGCTCAGTGAAATGTGAGCAGAAATGCTAAAATAAACTTATTTATATCCACAGGCTGCTGAGGGAATCAAATTACTTTATAGGATTCTGATCTGCCAAGTAATACTATAAAATATAGGTTTTATGGCCAGAGATTATTAAAGCTGAAATGGTGTTTACATGTTATCTAGCCTACTCCTTTTTATTTCAGATGAAGAAGTTGAGGTTTAGAGACATCATTTCCTGCTCAAGGTTATACAACTAGACAGTGATAGGCCCAGAGCTTGTAATCACTCCTATCTCCTGAAACATGCTACAGCTTTTTCTCACTGCTGGTCTGTTGCACTATTTAAAATAGCTTTGCATTTAGCATTCTAGGGGTTCTTCAAATTTCTGAGAAGTGAGAATTTTTTTTAATATAACGTGGGCTTTGCAGTTTTAGAAATACTAGTTATTATAAATACCAAATGTTTTCCTGAACTAGCTCTTTGTAAAAGCTTTGATATAAAAAGTTCTTTCTAAAATGACTCATTTATGATGCCAGAAAGGGCACCTGAGGATAATTTATCTGTTCTATGCCATTCATCTAATACCCTTATATTTTAAGTGCTGATATGGAGTTTTGATTACAAAACAGAAAATGTTGAAATAGAATGCATCATTTACCTAAAAATATGTCCAGTTAAATCTTGCTGCTGCCTCTGGTCTTTTTTATTCTTTTAGAATGAAATAGTTTAAAGTTATAAACAAGAATGTACACACTGACTGGGAAGTTAATGATAATTTTAACTTGTGTCTTATGCTAATGTGTAGTTAAATATTGAATTGAGAAGGAAATGGTCATAGTCTACCATGTATACACAGAAGCTCATACTTCTACATTGTATAATTATTGGAAACCATCTTTCTTGTAAACATCAGAATAAGAGTAAGAGTTTTGAGTTCTAACTTTAGCTCTCTTTCTAATTGCTTTGTTTTCCTGTGTGATTTAATTGCTGTCTTCACTCTTTGGTTTTCAGAATAGTATGTGGCATTCCTAATCCTACAAAATACAGTGCTACAGATATATTCACAAAGACAATAAATTAGTTATTGATGTCCAATATAATATGGGCTGATATTGTTTCATACAGATTATGAGTTGTAACCAGGGGATAGTGGCTGTAGTTTTCCTGCCATATAAATTTACTATATAGTTCAAAATAATAAAATAATATATGTGAAAGATTGGTTTATATTTTAAATTTCCATAGATATATATGGTATTATTATTATTATTATTAGATTATGAGCTACTGAGTAAATGTTCCCATATAGCTGATAAGGCTACTGTGCTTGCAATTCCTTCTGTCAGTGTGCTGATGGCTTACAATTGAATAGCAGTACTCGGAGGTTGAGTTAGAAAGACCTATTATTTCTATTTCATATTCAAAGCATAAGTGCTTCTTGATTTACAATGGGGTTTCGTCCCAATAAGTCCATTGTAAATAAAAAATACTGTAAGTTGAAAATGCACCTTATCCTGGCAACAGAGCAAACCATCCTCTATTTAGGATGGTTTGACTTACTATTTTTTCAATTTTATGGATGTGAATGCAATAACATTCAGTAGAAACAATAACCCCATTATAAGTCCTAAGGGGGTCCTTGACTTTTGATGGAGTTACATTCCAATAAACCTATTGTAAAGTTGAAAAATCCTAAGTCAAACCACGGTAAGTCAGAGACCATCTGTACTCTACGGGTTCCTGATAACTTGGCTACATTTTGTCTTGGCTGACATACACTATTCTATTCTCCTCATCAAATCAACTCTGTGGTCACTTCTTCCTCTGTTAATCCAAATCCTAAAATTCTATGTGAGCTTTGACTTTCAAAAGCCCTGTTTAGGGTAAATAATTGATTATTTTATCCCAAGACTACTTAAGAACCGAAGCAAAGACAAAGGAAGGCTCCTCTGAAATCAGTGTCCTACATTTCTATTTACCGAGAGAACACCACCACAACACAAAATAGAGGGATATAAGGAGGGAGAGGAAGGCGGCAGACAGATGATCTTTTAATTTTACTCATTGGCTTGAAGGAGAGACACCCACATTCCATCTCCCACCATACACACACACACATACAACCTACAATGCGGCAAGTCCAAACAAATGTCTCCCCAGGATGCCTAGACAAGTGACTAGAGAAGTTAAGAACTCACCTCACAGAATGCTAAGCTGGCTGTAGTCTGTATCTCTGTTTTATTTTGAGGTTGCTCTTTCCTCAATTGGACATCAGCTAATGCATAAAGTAACAATCATCAAATGTCATTCTATAGACACACAATGTGACTTATTCATCTATCTATGCGGATGTCCCACCCATTTTCTCAGTCTTCTAAATCTTCTGTCTTGACAGATGGTTTTTATTATGTACTAAAAGTAATTTTCTATCTGTCAGTATGTCAGTACCTTATTCATGCTTAACATTTTTTAGCCAACCCCTGCTCTGTCATCATTCGGGAAGTTTAGAAGACAGCATGTACAAATCACTCCCTATTCTGCATATATCTTTCCCTTATGTTTTCTACACGTATCAGCTTGTTCGTTATCTTTAGCACAGCCCCAATGAGCCAGCCTAATTGCCTGAATTAATTCTACTTCTTCACTTATTTTTAATGAAACCTCGCTAATTACAATCTTCAAAAAAGCAAATGAGAGATGAGAAATATACACCATGTAGGAAGTACATGTAGGAAGTGGCAAAAATTAAATTCTCTAAAAGGGATAATGTAACACTAATAGAGCTAAGGAACAGCTTGAATTCACTCATCTGAACTCTCATAACTCTTTTAATCTGCCACTCTTCTGTTATCTACTGTGTTCTTTAAGCTTCAGTTGCTTGTGTGCTCACTTTGTCTCATTTATCAGCCTCATGCGCAGTGGATACACTTTTATCATCCTAGGTAAGCCCACATAGCAGCAGAAAAGCATCATATATTGTAATTATCTGATAATTAGGAATCTAACCTTTTGCACTTAGAGTGACAGCATGGATAAACAGCTCCTTATGTTGGACCTACAATAAGATTTCATATAAAGTTGTCCAGTGAGCTCTTTATTAAACAAAAATAAAATGCTCCTTATTAAATAAATTAAAATAAAGAAAAAACTCAGCCTAGCCATTATGGTTCCATTTTGAAATGACTATTTTATAAATTGCCACCTGTGAGGTTTGGTGAATGATACCTCAGTGCCATGAATTAATTTGCATTCAACAAGTGAATAATTTTACCCCCTTCCAATTCATACTATCAGCAGCAATACAATATCCAAGGGGGGAACAGCATAAAACATGTTTGGCTGTTGTAATGAATTTGATTACAACAACAAATTAAGCCTATTTTCATTTTGATATTATAAAAAATGCAGCAGGAGGTTTGACTAGATAACTTGCTTTTATTTTATTAAATTCCTTATGTTACAGTCAGCTGGATTGAGTGCTCCCTGGGAGTGAATTAAGAACATTTGAGCCTTGTCTTTACATTCAAAACAGTGTGGCTTCAAGTCAGGCTTTTACAATCCACCTTACTTGGTTTGCCAGAGGGAGATTAAGGAGAGCTTCCTAGTTCCTTAGCTGTTTATTGCCTTCTTTATGCGGAGACTTTTCCTCCTACCTTCAGGCCGTGAAATATCATGCTGTGCCGTTAGCCAAATGGAATACTGAAGTAAATACAATGATTGTCCACATCTCAGATCACTTTTAGAGGGAGCTAAAGCCCTGTTTCTTTTTGGTCAACAGGCATTCAAGGCTGTTTTGCTTCACCTCAACAACACTAATCAGTTAAATGTTTTCTTAGTGGCCTAAAAGAGTTAGTAATTTTGGTTATAAAAGCAAAAGACCCTCTAAAATATTAGAATCCTTATTCATAATGGCAGGCTAGTACATAAAGGAAAAAAAGCACCTAAATAAACCTGAGTCGACTTAAATTATCCTTAAATAGTTCACACTACTACCATCAAACACATCCCCATCCTCAGCCAAGTCTAATGGAAGCTCGAATGTGTGGCTTTCCAATGGCCCTGCCACTTTCCCTTCTCAGCCTCCTGTTTTCCTTACATTGCGGTGTTCAAACCTATTTTTGTAGTTGGCTCATTACATTTTATTTCATAACAGTTGGCACATTCTGCCTGACTGCCGCCATGTTATGAAGTCAGCCACACATTATCCTATCATCAATTGCTAGGAACGTGAATCTCTTTGTCTATTGCTAAGGATTTGATTTATTCTAGTATGATTTGCTTTCCTGCAGCAACCACAGAACAGTATTCATTGCATCTGAGAAGGAAAAACAGAGGCAGGGGCACCTACTAACCCAAAAAGAACACTGGTGGGTCTAATGGGGCAGTTTTCTTTTCCAAGACAGTAACAGCATTTTCCTCAATGGTTTCCACTCAATGCATGCCTTCTGGATTTTTCACAGGGCCAGATTCTGCACTGAAGAAAAACACTTTGTCCTGATCAAGAACAATCAGTTTTAAAAGTCACTGGTTAACCTGATTGTAGAGAAAAGGCCCTTGGTACCTAGTAAGATAGTCCATAAATGTTTATTGAAGTAAGCACAGAAAAAGCAATCCCAACTTATTGTAGTATATTCTACATGTTTGAAGGTGGGAAGAGTTCTACTAGAAAAAAATGAGACTGTTGACTTTGACACCCATCAAAAATGATTATGCACTGATGGGACATTTTGGGTATATTATAAATTGTGCTGTGTAGGAATATTGACGGACATCATACATTTTCACATTACACGATAAAGTAGAATGTTCCCTATAATTGCTAATCACTGCTTTTCATATCCCCTCCGCTTTCTTGTTCTTCTTTCTCTATGATAACCACTTGACAGAATGTGAGTTCAGGCTAAATCCAACTGTCTGGCTAATCCATTCCTGCATCTGAGCATCAGAGAATGGCAGAAGGAAAGCACTCAACCCTCCTGACCGAGTTTATCTAATATTTTTAAGCACAAATCTCAAGTCAATTCTCAGCATGTGTCAAGTAATTTGGTTCTCCCACAAACCAAAATGCTATTTCAGAACCTCTCTCAATTCCAACTGCCAATATCCACGCCCCCTCCTCCCTCTCAGTTAAAGATAATCTTCTCACAGCCTAATCTGCCTGCTGGCCTTTCTGCATGTATATGTAAATGTTCTCCTTTCTCTCCCATTCTAATAAAACACACTGTCCCTTATCCTGTGTAAATCCAAATACTCTCCTTATACCCTGGCTTCTTTCCTTCTTCATTCAATGACTTTGCTGCTGCATCTAAGCCCTTCACCCAGGTACATCTTTCTGTCTCTCTCCCCTTCCTCCCTCCCTATCCTTGTCTCCATCTCTATATTACCCAATCCCATGGCTTAAGTATATGTGTTCAATGAAAACTCAATATTTGTATACTAAGCAATGATTTATCTCCTGAACTATAGATTTCTGTAAATAAAATAACAGTTGCATTAGTTGCACATGTTCTATATACAATAGCCAACTTATATGTATTATAACCAAAATTAATTATTTATTCTCTCCTCAGACATCCTCCTCATGACTATTCTCCTTCTCAAGGAATGGTACTATCATCGTTCCTATGGCTCACACCAAAAAACTTAGAGTCATTCTTTAAAAAAAAAAATAGAATCAGGGGGTACGTAGGCAGGTTTGTTATATGGATATACTGTGTAGTGGTGAGGTATGGGCTTTTGGTGTACCCATCACTTAATTAGTAAACAGTGTACCCAATAGATAATTTTTCTTTGAGACAGAGTCTCGCTTTGTCGCCCAGGTTTAGAGTGCAGTGGCGCGATCTCAGCTCACTGCAAGCTCCGCCTCCCAGGTTCACACCATTCTCCAGCCTCAGGCTCCCAAGTAGCTGGGACTACAGGCGCCCGCCACCACGCCCGGGTAATTTTTTTTTGTATTTTTAGTAGAGACAGGGTTTCACCGTGTTAGCCAGGATGGTCTCAATCTTGACCTCGTGATCCACCCACCTTGGCCTCCCAAAGTGCTGGGATTACAAGTGTGACCCACCGCGCCCGGCCCCCAGTAGATAATTTTTCAACCCTTACTCTGCTTCTGCCCTCCCCTTTGGAGTCTGCAGTGTGTGTCATTCCCCTCTGTATGTACACGTGTACCCATTTTTTATCTCCCACTTATAAATGAGCATTTGATTTCTGTTTCTGAGTTATCTCACATAAAATAATGGCTTCCAGCTCCATCTGTGTTGCTGCAAAATACATGATTTCATTCTTTTTTATGACTCAGTAGTATTACATAATGTATATATATCATCATTTCTTTATCCAATCATCCATTGATGGACACCTAGGTTGATTCTGTGACTTTGCTTTTGAGAATAGTGCTGTGATAAACATACAATGCAGTTGTACTTTTGATATAAAGATTTCTTTTCCCTTGGTTATATACCCAGAAGTGGGGTTGCTGGTTCAAATGGCAGTTTTAGTTTCAATTTTTTGAGAAATTTTTGTACTGTTTTCCAAGAGGTTGTACTAATTTACTCTGCCACTAGCAGTGTATAAGCATTCCCTTTTCTTCACATTCTCACCAGCACTGGTCGTTTTTTGACTTTTTAATAAAAGCCATTCTGATTGGTTTGAGATGGCATCTCATTGTGATTTCAATGTGCATTTCTCTTATGATTACTGATGTTGAACATTTTTCCATATGTTTTTGGGCTTCTTGTATGTCTTCTTTTGAGAAGTGTTTGTTCACGTTATTTGCCCACTTTTTAATGGGGTTATTTTTGTTGGTGTTGAGTTGTTTGAGTTCCCTATAGATTCTGCATATTAGCCCTTTGTCAGATAACATACATTGCAAGTATCTTCTCCCATTCTGTAGGTTGTCTCTTTACTGTGTTGATAGTTTCTTTTGTTGTGCAGAAGTTTTTAGCTTAATTAAGTCCCATTTGTCTTTTTTTGTTTTTGGTGCATTTGCTTTTGAGGTCTTAGTCATAAATTCTTTGCATAGGCCAATGTTCAGAAGAGGTTTTTCTAGAATTTCTTCCAGAATTTTTCTAGTTTCAGGTCTTACATTTAAACCTTTAATTCATCTTAGTTAATTATGTATATAGTGAGAGATAGAGGTCCAGTTTCATTCTTCTGCATATGGCTATCCAATTTTTCCAGCACCATTTATTGAATAGGTTGTCCTTTCTCTAGAATATATTTTTGCCAACTTTGTTAAATATCACTTGGTTGTAGGTATGTGGATTTATTTCTAGGGTACATATTTTATTTCATTTATCTATATGTCTACTTTTGTACCAGTACCATGCTATTTTGGTTATTATAGCCTTGTAGTATAGTTTGAAGTCAGGTAATGTGACACCTGCAGCTTTGTTCTTTTTGCTTAAGGTTTCCATGGCTATTCAGGCTCTGTTTTGATTTCATATGAATTTTGGGATTGCTTTTGTCTAACTCTGTGAAAAATTGTTAGTAATTTAATAGGAATTGCATTGAATCTGTATATTGTTATGGGCAGTATTGTCATTTTAACGATATTGATTCTTCCAGTTCATGAGCATGAGATTTTTTTTCATTTGTGTCATCTATGACTTCTTTATTATTGTTTTGTAGTTCCACTTGTAGAGCTCTTTCACCTCCTTGGTTAAACGTATTCCTAGGTATTTTATTATTTTGTGTGGCTATTGTAAATGGTATTGAGTTCTTAGTTTAGTTCACAGCTTTCACCTTGTTGGTGTATAGAAATGCTACTGATTTTTGTACCTTGACTTTGTATCCTAAAACTTTACTAAAGTCATTTATCAAATCTGGGTGTCCTCTGACAGAGTCTTTAAAATTTTCTAGGTATAAGATTATCTTACTAGTGAACAGAAATAATTTGATTTCCTCTTTCTTAATTTAGATGCCTTTTTTTTTTTCTTTATCTTGAATGATTTCTCTGGCTAGGACTTCTAGTACTATATTGAATAGGAATGGTGAAAGTGGCATCCTTCTCTCGTTCCAGTTCTTAGGAGAAATGTTTTCTGCTTTTCCCCATTTAATATGATTCTGGCTGTGGGTTTGTCATATGTGACTTTTATTACTTTCAGATATGTTCCTTTGATGCCTTTGTTGAAGGTTTTTATCATGAAGGGATGCTGAATTTTCTCAAATGTTTTTCCTGCATCTATTGAGATGATCACATGGTTTTTGTTTTACTTCTACTTACGTAGTGAATCACATTTATTGATTTGTGTATGCTGAACTATCATTGCATCCCTAGGATAAAACACACCTGATCATGGTGAATTATCTATTTGATGTGCTGTTGGAATTTGTTTGCTAGTATTTGGTTGAGGATTTTTGCGTCTATGTTTATCAGATATATTGGCCTGTAATTTTCTTTTTTGTTGTCCCCTTGCTTGATTTTAATATCAGGGTAGTACTGGTTTCATAGAATAAGGGAGGAATCCCTCTTCCTCAATTTTCTGGAACAACTCCAGCAAAATTGGCACCAGTCCTTGTACATCTGGTAAAATGTGGCTGTGAATCCATTTGGCCCTGGGCTTTTTTTAACTGAGAGATTTTTATTACTGATTCAATGTCATTACTCATTATTGGTCTGTTAAGAATTTCTTCATGGTTTAATCTTTGGAGGTAGTATGTTTCCAGGAATTCATCCTTTTTTTCTAGCTTTTCTAGTTTCTGCATATAGAGATGCTCATAGTAGTCTGTGATAATCTTTTGTATTTCTGTGGTATCAGTGGTAATCTCGCCTTTATTATTTCTTACTGTGCTTATTTAAATCTTCTTCCTTTTTTTTCTTGGTGATCCAACTAGAGGTCTACAAATTTTACTCATCTCTTCAAAGAACAAACTTTTCTTTCATTGATCCTTTGTATCATTTTTTATTCTCAATATAATTTTGCTCTGATCTAATCTTTGTTATTTCTTTGCTTGTGCTAGCATTCTGTTTGGTTTAGTCTTGTTTTTCTAGTTCATTGAGGTGCAGCATTAGGTTGTTAATTTGAGATCTTTTTCATGTAGGCATTTAATGCTATAAACTTTTCTCTTAGCACTGCTTTTGCTGTATCCCAGAAGTTTTGGTGTGTTGTCGCCCTATTTTCATTTGTTTCATTTTGTTTTAATTTCTGCCTTAATTTCATCATTTACCTAAAGATCATTCAAGAGCAGGTTGTTAAGTTTCTATGTATTTGTATAGTTTTAAGAGTTCCTCTTAATATTAATTTTTAATTTTATTCGATTGTAGTCTAAGAAGATATGCAATATGACTTTGAATTTTCTTAATGTATTAAGATGCTTTATGGCCAAGCTTATGGTCTATTTTGGAGAATGTTTCATGAGTAGATTAGAAAAATGTATATTCTGCAATTGTTGGGTAAAATGATCTGTAATAGTCTATTAGGTTTATTTTGTCTAGAGTCCAATTTCAGTCAGAGTTTCTTTGTCAATTGTCTCTCTCAGTGATTTATCTAATGCTGCCAGTGGAGTGTTGAAGTCTCCCACTATTATTGTATTGCTTTCTATCTCTTTTTGTGAGATTGTAGTATTTGTTTTATGAATCTTGGTGTTCTGGTGTTGGGTGCATATATATTCAGGATTGTTATGTATGTTCTTGTTGACTAGAACTCTTTATCATATAATGACCTTGTCTTTTTTTAACTGTTTTTTTATTTAAAATCTGTTTTATCTGATATTAGCATAGCTATTACTGCTCACTTTTAGTTTTCATTTCTATGGTATAACTTTTTTCACACCTATACTCTGAGTCTGTGGATGTCTTTACCTGTTAGGTGGGTTTACTGTAGGCAGTGTGGGGTTGGATCTTGTTTTTTTTTTTCTTTAATCCAATTTGCAATTCTTTGTCTTTTAAGTGGAGCATTTAGACCATTTACATTGAAGGTTAATATTGATATATGAGGTTTTGTTCCTGTCATAATATGAATTGCTACCTACTTCTTTTGTACTCTTAATTTTGTAATTGCTTTATGGGATCTGTGAACCTTGTTCTTTCACGTACTTTTATGATTGCTAGTATCATTCTTTCATTTTCATGTTTAGAACTCCTTTGAGCATTTCTTGCAGGACCAGTCTAGTGGTGATGAATTTCCTCAGTGTTTGCTTATCTGGGAAAGAGTTCATTTCTCCATCATTTATGAAGTTTGGTTTAGCAGAATATAAAATTCATGGCTGATGTATTTTTTTCTTTAAGAAAAATGAAAATAGTCCCCCACTCTCTTCCAGTTTATAACATTTCTGCTGAGAAGTCTGCTGTTAATCTGATAGGATTTCCTTTATAAGTAATTAAATGTGTCTCTCTTGCTGCTTTTATGATTTTTACTTTCACATTGACTTTGAATAGTCTCATGACTATATGCTTCGATGAGGTTCATCTTGCAGAGTACCTCCCAGGCATTTTCTGAGCTTCATGTATCTGAATGTCCAATTCTTTAGCTAGACCAGGGAAGCTTTCCTGAATTGTTTTGTTAAATATGTTTTCCAAGCTTTTTACTTTTTCTTCTTCTCCCTCAGAATATCTATAATTCATAGGTTTGGTTGCTTTACATAATGCCCTATTTCCTGAATCCTTTGTTTAGTTTTAACTTCTTTTTTCTTTATTGTCATCTGACTGAGTTAATTGAAAGTACCAGTCTTCAAGTTCTGAAATTTTTATTCTGCTCACTCTAGCATCTGTCAACTATATTTTGCAATTCCTTCAATAAATAAATAATAAATAGTTTATTTCCAGAAGATTTGTTTTAAGTGTATCCCTTTAGTAAATGTTTCATTTATATTCTGAATTATTTTTCTTATTTGTGTTAGTGTTCAACTTTCTCTTAGATCTCACTGAGATTCATTACAATTCATATTTTGAATTATCTGTCATTGCAAAATTTTCATTTTGGTTAATATCAATTGCTAGAGAGCGAATGTGATTCTTTGGGGGTATCAAAACACTCTATTTTTTTCTAATGCTGGAATTCTTGCACTGATTCCTTCTCATCTGAATAAGCTGTTACTTCTTATTTTTTATTTTACTTTCATTTTGATGGGATTCTTTTCTCCTCTTGAGGGTGTGCTGTAATGTATGTTGTGTATGATTGTTTTGATTACAGGTTCTTTCAGGGGGCCAAGGCTCTGTAGAAGTTCCTTGGTTATAGATAGCTTTTGTGTAGTGGCTTTCTCAATGTTAATTGTAGTAGCAATGTATTCAGAATATGAGCAGATTCATTCTCTTCTTCAGGGCTGGAAGTATGGAGGTCTCAGGGAGCTTATCGTCTTCCTTATCACTATGCCCTCTGTCAGCAGGCTTTTTTATTTGGTGGTGTGGTTTGATCTGCAGTCTAGTAGGTGATGTTTATGAGTAAAAGCCAGCTTGCCCTCAGCTACCCAAAAGAGGAGCAGAAGCACCTGTCCTGATGGGCACTACAGGGGGGAACTCATAGTCAGATGAGCTGAGGTCTCCACAGAGAGTGGGAAGGGGGCTGCAGCAGCCTCATATACTTGGCAGGCAAGAAAGTGATCCTCTTCTCATCATACTCCTCTTCCAGGGTTCATGACTTTCAGTTCAGATAGACATTGTCCTTTATCTCCAGACCACAATGTAACTGAAATCCCTGGAAAATGCCTGTCCTACAGCTACAACTGAAATGACTTCAGGGCAGAATCCCTTTTTTCTCACCCAAAACGGACAGCTCTGTGGCTGGCCCACACTCCACTGCAGGAATACTGCTGTCCCATGTAGGGAGGGAGAAATGGGCCCCAGGCTTCATGGAAGCTCAGGCTGGTTCTAAATTTACAGAGCAAGAGAATCTCCAAATCTGAGATGTGTGTATTATATTCTGTTAATTTAACTTCAAAAGTAATCAAAGGGAAGGATTTCATTTAGAAAACCAGCCATATCAGAGATAGTAGGAGATTTCTAGGTTGATTCTAAAACTACCATCAAGTTTGGGGCACCATTCATAAATATTAAGACATAGAAAACTCAAGCAAAAGCATGAAAACTTCAAATAAAATCAAAGGCCCTGTTAGAATGTAGTTTTACCACAGAACTACTGAACAGCCTGGAGTCATAAAGAGAAGCACCAGGGAACTGATTAACTAGAACTGTAGTGACGGTAGGCTAGGAAATACGTTTGTCTTCAAAGGCAAAGCATCTGATGGCCCTGCATGATACACTGCAATGTCTTATGCCTCATGGACACCAATTTAAATCCAAGCAGGGTCAGCTGTCAGAGCAGAAGTCATTTGTGCCCAATAGTGTTTTATTAGCCAGTGTGAAATGTTTCAAAATTCTGAACCTAGTTCTTAAGGGATGTGACTACATCATGAAGAATACTACTCCACTTGCTCTCAACTTGAACCACCAACAATAAACCATGTCCATGCAACACAAGAGAACACATTAACAAATAATGAGTAGCAGAGTAGTTCAATTTTATAATAATAATAACAGCAACAAGACACCTTGTATTTATGCAGCACTTTATATTTTATGATGCATTTTCATGGTAATTATTTTTTGTTTCTTATAACAACTATGAGATTAACTGGTTTATAAGGTATTACTGCTTTTATTTTTACAGAGGTAGAAAACTGAAGTTCAGTTTTGCTAAGTAACTTGTACCTTGTATTTATCACCTAAAATAAAAAACTAACTATGATCAGAATAGAAGTAGGGCTCTAACTCAGTCCTTCTGATTCCAAGATTACTGTTCTTCCTCTGGTAGCATGCTGTCTCTTTATAAGGGTATTTGTAACAACTCAGTTTTTTTTAGAAAGAAGTAATTTTCTCAATTGGACAATTTAGAAAATAAACAGTTGTCCAGATATATTTTTCCTAGTATAGAAACATTATGTTCTTTCATCGTATAGAAATTACGTGCTACTTTTAGAATAACTAGTTGAGCTCATTATGATTACTCACAGTAATAAATTTCCATGTGTTCTTTCTTCAAGTTAATAATAATAAAACTAATACATAACAGCAAATATTTACTAATTATTTGACAAGTTTTTTATTGTTTATTTTTAAGTTTATTTTTAAAATTCATAGCAACTTAACAAAGTGGACATTATACCTTATTTTTCAGACAGAAACTCAGGCATAAAAAGGTTAAGTAACTTGAACAAGCCCAGAGAAAAAGTGACAAAGCTGGGATACAATTCCTGTTAGTCTGGTTTCAGAGTTTGTATTCTTAATCATTACACTTTCACCAAGATAAGCAGCACATGGCAGAATCATAGAGGAACCTTCTCTGGATCGTACAAGGAAAACCAGACTGTGAAAAATTGCATTACTTTCTGAGGATTCATATGATCAAGAGAAAATATAGAACATTATTTTCTCAAATACTAGGAAAATTATCAAATGGTATATATTTCACAAATACTATTAATATTATATACTAACAGAGAGGACAAATTCAAGTGTGATATCAGTTTAACAGCATTCATTGAGTTACTACTGAGTGCAAAATACTATGAGTGCAAAATACTACTGAGTGCAAAATACTCCATGGTCTTAGCAATATGAGGAATGCAGGATTCTAAAAATCGAATCGTTCCATTTTTAGAATGTCTTATTCATTCTAAAAAATGAGTAAGACACACTTGCAGTCTTGGAGAGCCCTTGGAGTAAAATGCAAACTATAACAAAATACAAGATGAAATACAAATTGTGGTAGCCATGGTTCTCAAACTTTAGTGGGCATTAGAATCACTTGAAGGACTTGCTAACAGATTATTGGACTCCATCCCCTGAGTTTCTGACTCAGTGGACTGTGGGGTGGACAAGTGGCTGTTTGAAAATTTGCATTTCTAGCAAGTTTTCAAGTGATGCTGATGTTGTTGATCCAGGGACCAGACTCTGTGAGCCACTGAGATAGAGGTTCAACAGAATTTTAAGGGAGCATAGAGGAAGGTATAATAAGCCTTCTAAAGCAGAACATTTTATGCTGGGCTCAGCCTCTGAACTGTGCTTTGACAAAGGAGCAGAATTTCAGATTTTGAAAGATAATGTGCTTCAGGCTCAAGAAGAAACATAATCCTCCAGGCTCTTCCTTCTTTCATCCTAGTGATTTGGTGGCCTCATTCTACTCTTATAGAATGAAATAAAAATTAAGAAATCCTTTCTCCTTGCCCCACAACCCAATATACATAAATGTTTTCTTTGGTTCAACCAGGGTCCTGACATTTCAATAAGAAATGAAAGAGAAGTTTTACCACATTTCAAGATTTGTTAAAATCTTTCTTTATTCTGTTTCAGGTCATTTCAATTTCCTCAAAAACTACGTTTTTAAAAAAAAAATTGGTCCTAACTAGACTCACACATTTTAGGGAAGATTAAGAATGAATGAATTGTTGGTCAAGTTTTCTTTCGTAGATTAGTTTTATTGATTGTAATGGGTGAAACAGTCACAACTTTCCCAGTAAATATTCTTTCCACCCTTATCACAGGAGAAGGAAAAATAAATGGAAACAATTCTAAAATTATTTTATCTGTGTGCTAGAGCTGGAGAATAAAATTATTTTATCTGTGTGCTAGAGCTGGAGAATAATCAAAGAAGTAATGCACCGACTCATGAGGATAATTTTATTTCCACTTCCTCTATCATTTTACCACATCCTCCTAAATAACTAATTTAAATTCTCACTGCTATAATTTTTGTATTTGTAAAAGGGGGATGATATTTGCCATGAGGCTTAGTTAATACTTGGAAATGCTCCTGAGATCACCGAGAAAGGAGAGGAATAAAATACTATTACTCTACATTAAACTTTGGAACTTAAACTATAAAACAAGAGGTATCTACATTCCTTCAGCAACAAACCAATTGAAAAGACATTTTTCTACTACTAAGCTGCTCATTGTCATGACAAATGTGTATTAGATGCCAATATTGTCAAGTACTTTACAATAATTTCTTCTAATGGATTTTATTCCATTTCTCACATGGATGAAATAACTAAAGGGCAGATAATTCAAATGCTAACTGCCAGTCTAAACTTTTTCTATAAAGGACCAGATAGTAAATATTTCAGGCTTTGGAGGCCATGAGTGATCATATGATGACATATGATCATGAGAATAAGGCATGTTTAAAACTGGAATAAATAATTGCCACCAGTCATTATCATTTTTTATTTTCTCTTTATTAGCAGCAGTACACTTTCCTTCTGTCATCTCATTTTATTACTTTTCAGAATTGGTTAGTAATAAATATTTAGGTAGAATTCATAGTTCTTCCTTGCTTTCTTTTAAAAAGTGGGCAAATTTTTGAAATAGTTCTGTTGTTTTCCAATTCCATTTGGCTTCCCCCAAATAAGTTATTAAATCAGCCTAGTTGATTTCAATACCTCAAACACAAGCCATTTTGTTTCATTCACATTTTCTATTTTATTTTGCCTACTGCTTCATTACTTGTATTTCCTCATGTGCCTTTAGAGAAAATGTTATTTCTTCATTTGCGCAAATTGGAAACCTATTTTTAAAGAGCTGTGTGTCAACCATTTTGATTATTCTGCATTTTATTCCCCTTCTCATTTATTTAAAAAAGGAGACAATACATAAGCCACCATCTCCCTCCTGAGTGTAATTGTAGAAGCCTGTTGTTGTCTCACTGACACTTTTGCATACTTTTTATTTTGTTTCCTTATTACAATCAGAGTTTACCTTCCTGCTTAGTTTTCTGTTTGCTTCTCATTTGGGAATTCTTGCCTAAGGTGTTTTTGATAAAAATCTCTAATTAGATTTCTTTTTAAAATGATATAAAGTAGAAATAGAGAATTTCACAAATTAAGTTACAAGAGTTTACAAAATGGTAAGTAGTTAAAGATTTTTGCTTCCTTCTGATTATAATTAAGATTTTAAAGATTAAGAACTCTTTCCTGTTTAACTGAGATGGCTTCTCCCTAAACATCCTCATAAATCTATATGCATCAATAAAATATTTGTAGTTACTTTAAAGTAATATAGAAGTAATTATATTTAGTATTATGTTATGGAAAATGGGAAAAGGCACCTAATTTTAATATTTAACTATAATTTCACAACGTAATGTATTTAAAATCTTTTTTTTTTCAGGTTTTTCTCTCCCTGCAGTGTGCACTTCAGAGATAAAAGTGTCAGTTCTGACACATGGAAGTCTGTCATGCTTTCCTCAGGTTTATGCTGTAATTGGAAATCAATAAATTATAGAAATGTCTTCACAGCACTTGATTTAGCCTTATGTCCTCAGTTTTTATTGAGGGCTGATGTAATAAATGGTTTTATGAAGAAACGCTCTGCAGTAATTTGATGAAACTGCTACTGAAGGTACTGCCATTATATTGCTCATTGTCTACATACAAATTCTGACATTTCATGTTTTACTCAATGTTCGAAGCAAAAAAGGAGGAGGTCTCTCCCAATGATTTTATCTGATCCCCTTTCCTATAATTTAAAGAGTTATGAAACTTTGGGTTTTTTATGTTGGTGTTCAGAAAATTCAAAGCTAAGCTTTTTTATGTTTTGTAATTTTGCCTGATTTGTTCCAGTCTAGGTTTTCTGAGATTAAGAAGTATGTCATTACTGCCTCCTCTAATTTCTGCCCTTGTATCCTTGTAGGTCAGTTATAATTGTTTGTTCCAATTTTGTACAAACAATTGTTTGCACAATTGTTTGCACAACTGTTTGCACAACTGCATAATTGTTTCCACAATTATTCCAATCTCGTGCAAATTGGCTAATTTGCACAAAAAGCAAAATCATCAGAAATATCGAGAGTTCAGAGAATAAAGCTTGGTGGGAGGCAGGAACCAAGGCAACTCTACAGCCTTGAAAATAGGAATCACAACAATAATCTAGGAAGAAGGACAGTCTGGTCAGAGGGAAATGAAGTTGCAAAAGCTTGGGTCCCATGACTGACTTGTGGTTACAGGAACCTGATTTAATCTCGCTAGTGTGGATACAATGTGGAATAGATAATTCCAGGAACTGAAACAGCAATGCCATTAGGAAGTTAAGAGGAGAAAAAGTCTAGGCAAACTCAACAATATTTACTACATATTGTTTTATAGTTTTGCTGGGGAAAGCAGTTGTATATGCTATTATAAGTAATTCTACATTGCTTTTATAAGTGGATAAGAAGTTATTAGTAAATGATTAGAGGAAGAATTATTAATGAATAAAAAAGTTTTTTACAAACCACTGCTCAATGAAATAAAAGAGGATACAAACAAATGGAAGAACATTCCATGCTCATGGGTAGGAAGAATCAATATCGTGAAAATGGCCATACTGCCCAAGGTAATTTATAGATTTAATGCCATCCCCATCAAGCAACCAATGACTTTCTTCAATGAATTGGAAAAAACTTCTTTAAAGTTCATATGGAACCAAAAAAGAGCCCGCATTGCCAAGTCAATCCTAAGCCAAAAGAACAAAGCTGGAGGCATCACGCTACCTGACTTCAAACTATACTACAAGGCTACAGTAACCAAAACAGCATGGTACTGGTACCAAAACAGAGATATAGATCAATGGAACAGAACAGAGCCCTCAGGAATAATGCTGCGTATCTACAACCATCTGATCTTTGACAAACCTGAGAAAAACAAGCAATGGGGAAAGGATTCCCTATTTAATAAATGGTGCTGGGAAAACTCGCTAGCCATATGTAGAAAGGTGAAACTGGATCCCTTCCTTATACCTTATACAAAAATTAACTCAAGATGGGTTAAAGACTTAAATGTTAGACCTAAAACCATAAAAACCCTAGAAGAAAACCTAGGCAATACCATTCAGGACATAGGCATGGGCAAGGACTTCATGTCTAAAACATCAAAAGCAATGGTAACAAAAGCCAACATTGACAAATGGGATCTAATTAAACTAAAGAGCTTCTGCACAGCAAAAGAAACTACCACCAGAGTGAACAGGCAACCTACAGAATGGGAGAACATTTTTGCAATCTACTCATCTGACAAAGGGCTAATATCCAGAATCTACAATGAACTCAAACAAATTTACAAGAAAAAATAACCCCATCAACAAGTGGGCGAAGGATATGAACAGACACTTCTCAAAAGAAGACATTTATGCAGCCAAAAAACACATGAAAAAATGCTCATCATCACTGGCCATCAGAGAAATGCAAATCAAAACCACAATGAGATACCATCTCACACCAGTTAGAATGGTGATCATTAAAAAGTCAGGAAACAACAGGTGCTGGAGAGGATGTGGAGAAATAGGAACACTTTTACACTGTTGGTGGGACTGTAAACTAGTTCAACCATTCTGCAAGTCAGTGTGGTGATTCCTCAGGGATCTAGAACTAGAAATACCATTTGACCCAGCCATCCCATTACTGAGTATATACTCAAAGGATTATAAATCATGCTGCTATAAAGACACATGCACAAGTATGTTTATTGCGGCACTATTCACAATAGCAAAGACTTGGAACCAACCCAAATGTCCAACAATGATAGACTGGATTAAGAAAATGTGGCACAAATACACCATGGAATACTATGCAGCCATAAAAAATGATGAGTTCATGTCCTTTGTAGGGACATGGATGAAGCTGGAAACCATCATTCTCAGCAAACTATTGCAAGGACAAAAAAACCAAACACCCCATGTTCTCACTCATAGGTGGGAACTGTACGATGAGAACACATGGACACAGGAAGGGGAACATCACACACTGGGGCCTGTTGTGGGGTGGGGAGCTAGGGGAAGGATAGCATTAAGAGATATACCTAATGTAAATGACGAGTTAATGGGTGCAGCACACCAACATGGCACATGTATACATATGTAACAAACCTGCACGTTATGCACATGTACCCTAAAACTTAAAGTATAATTAAAAAATAAATAAATAAAATAAATAAATAAAAAAGTTTTTAAACTGAATATCTCTATGTTCAATTAATTATGCTGCAGTCCAGGATGGATTGGAAGGGATCTAAAAGTATATAATGTGGTTCTGTCCACAAACAGCTTAATAACTATATGTAAAAAAAGATAAGCATACATAAAATAACAAATTAATACTATAGGAAATTAAGTATTAATTTTTTATCTAAGAGGCACTTAGCACAGAGATTAATAGAGTAGCCTCTAGAATTAGACTGCCTTGGTTCCAATCCCAGCAACACTACTTAAAGTAACTTGGTGAAGTTACTTAACATTTGCCATTTACAAAATCAATATATTAATTTATACGTCACAAGGCTATTTTGATAAGTAAATACAGATAAAACATTTATAATTATATCTGACATGCAATGAGTGCTATATAAATGTTAGCTAATATTGTGCATAGAAAAAAAAAGACATTATATAACCACCTTATACATTAAAGTATATTTATTTATTCAAATATATTTGGTACTAACTACCTATATGACAAATATTACAGATATTAGACACAAAGAGTGATGATTCACAATTGCACTCAGATGCCATATAAAATACAAAGTAGGATAAGAAAACATAGACTGATACTATGAAATTCTAACAGTAGAAATTATTTAAACAAGCATTTTTATGAAAGATTTGGTTAGGAAGCGCTCTTTGAGCTTAGTGTTGCAATATATTGCCATGTGGAAATGGTAGAAAATATTTCAAGTGTAGGGAACAATATAAAAGCATACAGACACACGAAAGGGTAGAACTTAATAATACAATGAACATAATGTAGTTTCATTGGCAGAAATATAAGGCTTAGAAAGTAACAATGAAAAAGAAGTTTGGAAAAACATGCTAGAGATACAATATGGAGAATTTTGCTTTATCACATCAGATTATTGAATCAGACCTAATTACAAGCTTAAAAATCACACAAAGAAGCCTCAAAGTTTATAAAAATGAGAAGAATATTTGTCAAGGGAGAGAGTATATAGAGCCCAACTTCCACCTCAATTAAAATAGTAGTTCTTATGTCCACACTTCTGTATGGAAGTTCACTTACAAAATGCACATAAATAGTTACAGAACAAATATTAGAAATTCTTATGCTGATTTCTGCTTCTGGAAAAGATGGAGTAACAGGGCCTAGATGTAACCTCTTGCCTGAAACAAAGAATTGGACAAATACATGAAACAATAGTTTTAAATATTTGGTACATCAGGCAACATAGAGCAGTAGCCACAAAGAGATAGAAAATAAACAAGACAACTCCAACGATGGTAACTTTACTGTTTGGAGAGAGATTTCCAGCTATAGTGCAAGGGAGGGGAACCCAGGTACCAGCAATGTCTCTGAGTTGCAGAGATAGAGCTAGGAGCCCAGGAAGGTCAAGGTGGCTAGAGTTCCTGGGGCTGAGCACTGGAAAAAAAAGAGATTCATTGAAAGAGGGAGAGAGAGAATATATGCATGCTTCAGAGATCTGCAGAAGTTGCTATTGCATTGTAAGCTAAGTAGTAATGAGCACAATTGTGTAAAAAAATTATTTAGGCCTGGAAAAAGAGCCATTTGAAAGGAATAAATGGAAAAATAACCACAACTCAAACAAGATCAAGAAGAGTTTCTGCTTATAGCAGTCATATTAGAAATCTCAATAATTCATAGAACATCAGAGAGAATTGTAGAAGAGATTTGTATCACAGATTGAGCAAAATTAGTGCTAAACAATGCTATAGCCCCAAAAAGAAGCATAAAGCCCAGATTCAAAAGGATCAAACTTCAAGTAACCTAACTGAATTCCAGAAGACAGCTCAAGAATATCCATGGGAACACAAAATATCCATCACTGTACAAGGTAAAATATCCAATGTTAGATGAAATAGAAAATAGAAAAATTCATTTAAGGACAAAAACTACAAAAGATCACAAACAAAGAAATAGATAACATGAGTACTTAATATCTATGAATGAATTTGTAGTTTAAAACTTTCCTACACAGAAGACTCCAGATCTATTTGGCTTTATGGGGAATTCTAATTTGTGAATGGAATAATATCTATCCTACAAAAACTCTTCCATAAATTTTAAGAGGAAAGAATATTTCCAAACTTTCTATGAGGACAGTATTCCTCTGATACCAAAACCAAAGACATTATTTTAAAAACAGTGTAAAAAATTCTATTGAATCTACAAAAAAAAGCTCCTAGAACTAATAAGTCAGCTGAAAAAATTGTAAGATATAAGATCATAAACACAAATCAATTGTATTTCTACATATTAGCAAGGAACAGTAAGAAATTAATTATTTTAAAAATTTACAATAATATAATAAATATGAAATACTTAGGAATAAATCTGACAAAATTGTGCCAAAATTGTGCACTGAATTCTTGAGAGAAATCAAAGATGACTTGAATAAGTGGAGAGCTACACTGTGTTAACAGTTCAAAGGCACAATAGTAATGAGATGTCAACTCATCAAAATTGATCTACAGAGTCATCATAATCCCAATCAAAATAGAAACTGACATACCAGCATTAAAATTCATATGTAAATACAAAAGGCCTAGGAAAGACAATACTCCTTTGACAAAAAATAACAAATCTATGGAATTTATATTCCTTGACTTCAATAAATATCATAAAACTATAGTAATCAAGAGAGTGTTGTACTGTAGTAAGACATACTAATCGATCAGTGGAACAAAGAGTACATAAATAGACCCATACTTAAGTTTAGCAAAAAAAAATACAACAGCAATTCAGTAGAGAAAGGATAATCTCTTACACAAATAGTGATTTTTTAAATGCTGTTTTCAGTGGACAATTGATAATCTCTTAAACAATTGACCATCCATATGAAGATAAAGAATAACAACAACAACAACTTCCCTGTGTATCTAATTGCATTTTTTAAAAACTAACTCATGGGTTGTAGGAATAAATGCAAAAACTTAAAACAATAACATCAGCAAGATAGTGGAATAGGAAGCCCCTGACTATCTCTCTCTCCCCACAGAGACATTGACTCAACAATACATGGACCAATTCCCTTTATGGTAAATCCAGAAATCAGGTAAGAGGCTTTTGCATCCCAGATCATGTGAAAAAACAAACTTAAAATTTAGATGTAACCACAAAGGACCCCAAGTAACCAAACAATGTTGAGGAAAAAATACAAAGATGGAGGCATCATACTTCTTGACTTCAAAACATAATGCAAACCTACAGTAATCAAAATAGTATAGTACTGGTATAAAAATGGACACATAGACCAATGAAACAGAATAGAGTTCAGAAATAAATTCATGCATATAGGGTCTACTAATTTTTGACAAGGGTGCCAAGAATATACAGTGGGGGAAGGATGATCTCTTTAACAAATTGTGCTGGACAAATGAGATATCCACATGCAAAGAATTAAATTGGACCTTTATATGACACCAGGCACATAATTCAAAATGGCTTAAAGACTTAAATAAGATGTGAAACTCTAAAATTCCTAGAAGAAATCATAGGAGGAAGCTTTATAACACTGATCTTGGCAATAATTTCCTGGATATGACACCAACAGCACAGGCAAAAAATATAAAAATAGCCAAGTAGGACTATATAAATTTAAAAGCTTATGTATAGCAAAGGAAACAACAGAGTAAAAGGCAACCTATAAAACTAGAGAAAATGTTTCCAAATCATATATCTGATAAGTGATTAATATGCAAAGTACACCAGCAACTCCTACAACTCAATAGCAAAAATTCCAAATAACCCAACTAAAAAATGAGCAAGGAACTTGAACAGATATTTCTCCAAAGAAGACATCAAAATGGCCAATGGGTATATGAGAAGATTCTTACTTCTAATAATCAGGGAAATGCAATTCAAAACTGCTATGAGATATCAAATCAAACGTATTAGGATGGCCAGGATCAAAAGTAAAAACAAAACAAGTGGTGTAAATGTGGAGAAACCGAAACAATTTTACACAGTTGATGGAAAAATAAAGTGGTTCAGCTACTGTGGAAAACAGTATGTATGCTCCTCAAAAATATTATATATATTATATTATATAAATATAACTACTATGTATGTGACCTAGCAGTTCAACTCCTGAGTATTTCTGCAAAAGAATTTGAAACAGAATCTTGGAGAGATGTTTGCACTTCCATGTTCATTGCAGCATTAGTCACAATAGCCAAGAGGTGAAAACAACCTACATGTCCATTGAAGAATAAAGAAAATGTGGTATACGCATACAATGGAATACTGTTTAGCCTTATAAATGAAGGAAAACCTGTCAAATGCAACAACATGGATTAAACTTGAAGATATGCTAAGTGAAACAAGCCAGTCATAGAAGGACAAATGATACTGCATAATTCTACCCATATGAAGTATCTAAAGTAGTCAAACTCATAGGAGTAGAATTGAGGCTTCCAGGCTGAGAAGGGATGGGGAGTTCATGTTCAATAGGTATAGAGTTTTACTCACTCAAAACAGTACTAGAGAACTGTTGTACCACAATACACATATAGTTAACAACAATGTACTGTACACTTAAAAATGCATTAATAGGGTAGATCACATGTTGTATCTTTTTATTACAATAAAAAGCTTAAAGTGCAAAACTTCTACAGAAAAACACATTAGAAAATTTTGATTTAGAGATAGAAAAATATTAACAGACACAGATACACCACCAAAAGCATGATCCATCAAATAAAAACTTGATATTCAAACTTCATCAAAATTATGTATTTCTGCTCTTTGAAAGATGCTGCCAAGGGTATTAAAAGACCAGCCACAAACTGGAAGGAAATATTTACAAATATTTACAAATACATCTAATAAAAGATGTATATCCTGAATATATAAAGAATAAAAATTTACAAAAAACGGGGAAAAGATTTGAATAGACAGTCCACCAGACAAGATATTGAGATGGTAAATAAGGACACAAATGTATACTCAGTGGAATTAGTCAGCCTCAAATTCCTGGGCTCAAGAAATCCTCGTGCCTTAGCCTCTCAAGTAGCCAGGACTATATCACACATCACTGCACCCAGCTGATTTTTTATTTTTTATTTTTTGTAGTAACAGGGTCTCACTATATTGCCCAAGCTGGTCTCGAACTTCTGGCCTCAAGTGATCCTCCCACCTTAACCTCCCAAAGTGCTAGGATTATAGGAGTGAGTCATTGTGCCCAGCCAGAATTTTTTAAATTAAAAATTCTCACCATGCAAAGTGATGATAAGGCTGTGGAGTCACTAGAACTCTCACATATTGCTGATGGGTATATAAAATGGCAAAACCGCTTTTGAAAACAGTTGGGAAATTTCTAAAAATAGTTAAATATACACATACCCCATGACCTAGCTATTTCAACCCCTGTATTTACCTAAGAGAAATGAAAGAGTATGTCCACAGAAAGACTTGTACCTCATTTAGAGTAGCTTCATTAATATAAGCCAAAACTCAAAATATTTCAAATGTCCATAACATTTATATGTTATCCATCAGCAAGCCAATGGATAAATAACTGAGGCATATTCATAGAATGGAATACCACTAACCTGTACAAAAGAAGCTATTGGATGAATCTTGAAATAATTATGTTGAGTGAAAGAAGCCAGAAAAAGAGAGTACATACATTTGATTCCACTTACATAGAACTCTATGAAATGCAAACTAATCTATAGTGACAGAAAGCAGGTAAGTGGCTGGCTGGGGACAGGAGTAGGGTGGAATGAGGTGGGAAGGGTTAGTGGACTAGATTACAAAGAGGCAGGAAGAAGCTGTCAAGAGGTAGTGGTGATGTTCACTATCAACTGTGGTGAAGAATTTGCAGATCAAAACTCACCAAATTGTACACTTTAAATATGTGCACTGTATTGTATATCAATTATACCTCAATAAATCTGTTAAAAATTTTCCTCATGCAGCTCTCAAATGATCTGAGCTATGCTTAAAGAGAGCTAAGGAGATAATATTCCCTGAGGCAAGGTTGTCCAGCCTGCGGCCCATGGGCCTCATGAGGCCCAGGAGAGCTTCAAATGTGGCCCAGAATGAATTCTTAAACTTTCTTAAAACACTATGAGATTTTTTTGCTATTTCTTCCTTGTTTTTTTTTTTTTTTTAAGCTCATTAGCTACTATTAGTGTTAGCATTTTTATGTGTGGCCCAGGACAATTCTTCTTCCAATGTGGCCCAGGGAAGCCAAAAAATTGGACGCCCCTGCTCTAAGGTAAAGGAAAGACCCGAGGCTAGGACCTCAACAAAAAAGCAATTTGTAGCTGTCCAGTGAGAGTTAACAGGAGACTGAGTTGGGATAGTTTTTGTTGGAATGGAAAAGAATGAACTTGGTACCATTGGCTCACCTAAAAGGATATTTCCCTATCCCCAAAACAAAAGCTGAAAACTCATTTGACTACTAAAAGTTCACTGTAGTTTCGTGAAGCATAAACATTTTTTTGCTCAGATTTGTCAGGTTCAGTCTCAGGGTTGGATAATTCTTCGAGTCTGGGAAGACATAGGAATGTTGCATAAAAATCATTTTATTAATTAGATTCACCATCATATATTTCACCAAGAAGTATCTTTTGACAATCTACTTCCTCTGTGAAAGGCTCTATACTAGTCATTAAGGTATAGGGGGTTTGACTGCCATTTACATATGCAAGGAAAAAAGACAGAATCAAATGATTGTCCTTCAGAGCTAGTAGTGAATTATGTGTCTGGTGTTGGTGTGCAAGGTTTCCAGATTTGGCTTTTAACTTGTGTGCATGTAATTATATAATCATTAGGGTGGTGTAACTGTACCAATCACTGTGCTAACAGGTATTGTCCAAAAGGCCACCATCTATCTTGAGCAAAAGCCTTTGTTTCTCTGTAGTAAGCCTGGCCTCAGGACAATAAGATTACATATAAATGCAACCCTGAGTTTTATTTCCCCCCATAGGTTATAAATAATTTGGCTGTAACTCTTTGGGGATGACGTTCATGAAAAACTCTATAATCTTTGTTATTGTATTTCTCAGTTGCAGGTACTTCCAAAGCTGTGATCTATCTAAATTGTATTTTTGTCAAAGGGTTATAAAGGGGATAATGTGAAAAGTCTGTTGGAATATTGTTAGTAAATTTATAAAATTACTTTTTGTATCCAGTTAGACCAAGTAATTTTTTTATTCATTGTTTTTAGGGCAGGCTTAAGTATCATTGAAGACTTTAAGGGAATAAAATTTATACATCCAAACTAGAGATTCTTTGTCTAAAAGTGTGTCTGTTAGGACAAAGTTATCATTTACAGGGCTTGGAGATACTATTTAGAGGAGTGAACAATCTAGGCCTAAAACTACACAACTGCATGCAGATATTTTCAAAATTCTTTCTCTTGCCTGCTTTATGCTGTTCCCTCAAATCCAGTAGTGAATTATTGGTCCTAGTGTCATATGCACTCCACTGGGGCACATTCTCACTGCTGCTTGATCTAAGGTCATAGCTCATATATTAGCATTAACTCCTAAAAGACGTTTGTCTTGTACAAAGTGACACTCCTTAGCATTGTTATTCCATCCTATGGCCAGCAAGTAGCTGATGGTACTAAATACTGAAAGGGGTCTGCTGTCTTCTCATCTTGTGGACATGAAATCTACTGCATTTACATTGCTAGACCTCCGTGAAATTTTGGAATCCCATCTTACCACTTGATCTTATATTGAATGGTGCCTCTGAAATGTTTTAGATTCTCAGTTTTGTAACCTCTAATCTTATTTACTTTATTAATAATTATTTAATTAAAAGGCCTAAACCTTTTAATTAAATTCATCCAGGAAATTACTGTGGACCCAGAAGAAATGGAAAAGGCCTATGAGCCAGAAGTAGCTAACATAAAGTCCAGAGGTAAAGTTGCTGGGACTGGTAGCCAGATCATTTGTGTGCAGTACAAAGCAGCGATTTTTAGTAGCAGTTAGAAAATAAAGGGCAAATAGCAAAATGAGAATGCAGAAAAGCTAGCAAAACCAGAATAATTTATTCTCTATTTTCTCACTTACTTTACTTTAGGTCACTTAGTTGCTGGGTTACAAAATGGAATAAGAAAAACAATGAAAAGCTGATAAATTGTTAGAGATAAGAGGAAACTGAGAAAAATAACAACTAAATGCATTGTGGTATCCTGGATTGGATTCTGAAACACGAGGACTGCAATGCAGTATCCTGGATTGGATTCTGGAACAGGAAGACATTAACAGATAAACTGTTGAAATCTGGAAAAAAATGGAGTTGAGTTCATAGTAATGTATCAATGTTAATGTTAGTTTCTTAGTTTTGACAAATATATCAGTAATGTAAGATGATCACATTAAGGAAACTAAAACTGAGTGGAGATTTTACAGGGATTCTCTGTACTACCTTTGCAACTTTTTCTGGAACTCAAACATTGGTGCCCAAAACTGAGCAAAGTTTAAAACTAGCCCAGTCTGGGAGTTTAATGAAGAATACCTGAGATCAATTCTGAAAGATATGTAGGATTGCTCAGGAATAGGAAAGAGTGACCAGAATTATGGGCAGAAGGAAGTGCATGAGGCATGTGGGGAACCGAGGTGATTTGGAAGACTAGAGATGGGCACAGATCAGGCCATGTAAGGCTTGTGTGCCTCAGTAGGAAGCTAGACCTCCACCTGGGGGAGAGGAGACATAAAATGGTCAGATCTGAAGGAGCCTATGGGATATATATTTTGGAGGCAGACCTGAAGATAGGGAGACAAATTAGGAATCTCATGATAGTCTGAATTAGGCAGAAACTGTAGCTACAGAGAGGAGAGTACAAATTTGAAAAATACATAGGAAGTAACATAAGCAGCTTTTAGTGATTTGACTGGAGGTTATTTAGCGGAAAGGGGAATTACTTAAAAAATGTTTTGAGAATACAACTGTGCTATCGCATGATACAATAATTAATTTTCAAACACCAGTTACCTAACTCGTGAAGAAAAGTTGAAGTTATGCTTAGTATTTTCTACTGAAGATATACAAAAACTTACAGTGAACAAGACATAATAAATTCATATTTTTAAACCCTGTGTTTGAAATGCATAATGGTAATAGACGAAGCACAAAAAGAGAAAACCAAAAGCACATAGCTGATTTGAAAATAAGCTAAGCATCTCTGTGAACCCGAAACATCTCTGTGAACCCAAAACATCTCTGTGAACAAAAACCCACCAAGCAGTAAGCAATGGTGAAGTCACAGTGGCTTACAGGGAGCTATGGCCCCCGCCACGCAGAAACACAGCCTTACCATTTTAAATACTATCAGAAGACAGGACCACCAACCACCATTATAGAGCCTAATTCTGAACTGGCGGTCCTGAAGCCCAAATAAGGTAAAATCAAAGTCAAAAGATAGGGAAAACAAAGGGGAGAAACAAAAAGCTAGAGAAACAAAAATCCGCTAATCGAAAATAAATCTGCAAAGGAAAACACATTTTACAGAATTACTGAAAAGAAAGAAAGTCAAACAAATTAACTATCAGAATACTGATTCATTCTAGATAAATTATAGTCCCACCACTAAAATATCTATTCTAGAACACTCAAAGAGGGATAAAAATTAACATCATTTTTTAATTGAAAAACAAAATCAATGAGAAATGAAGCAAGAACTGTAGCTACAGAAATAAATTTAAAAGATTAGAAAAATATAATCGACTTTAAACACATTAGCAGTAAGTATGAAAACAGTTTTCCTAATGTCAATATTTAATTAAATTTACTGAATTTTTAAAAAGTCAATTTCTGAATTATAGCATTATTCTTATATTCATGGTTTTTCAGTGGGTTTACTTTCTTACTAATTATATCCTTGTTGAGAGTCTGTGGCTTTAAGTTCTATCAGCCTTTGCATACCTGATATCGTCTACATTTTGCCCTCTTCTGGAAATATAATTTAGCTTAGAAAAAACTGTAAATTGATAAATATATTCCCTCTAAACTTGGAATATTTAACTTCATTGTTTTCAGTTTTAGTATAACTGCTAAAAGACCTGCTGTCAGAAAGTATAAATTTAAGTACTCATTTTCAAAAACTAAAAAATACTATACATAAGTAAAATAGAAGAAAAACATGAACCAATATAAAAATCATATGAATGATAAAGAAATAATATTAACAAGGTGGTTTCTTAGAGAAAATTTTAAGAAGTAACAAATCTCTACAAGTATTGACAAAGCAAAAAGGCACAATAAGCAACATCAGAAGGGACAATGGGGATACATTATGGAAATAGAAATCGATGTTTAAACAATGAATTGTCATGAAATGAAAAACATGAGATAAGTTCTGGAAAAAATAAATTACAAAACCTGATTCAAGAAGAAATAAAACAGTTAAATTTAAAACTAAATAAACAAAATGCCATTGAAAAATAATAACTTCTACCTCTGAAACACATTATATCTAGATAATATTATAGACTAATTTTACTAAAACGTTTGGACTATTCTGTTATAACCATAAGCATAAAATTTGAAAATCTGTGATTTTTTAAAGTTCTAGCCAATGTAGTAAAATTTTTTAAAAAATGAAATTATAAAAATTGAAAAGAAATAAGCAAAATTGCCATTTTCCACAGGAGATATAACTGTCTGCATAGAAAATTCAAGATTAACCATGGAAAAATTATTAGAACTAATAACAGAGCTCAACAAGTTTACTGTATGTATACATAAATAACATAAAAATCAATAGCATGCCTCTACATCAGAGATATACAAATAGATAAGCATAATGGAGAGAATGATTCCATTTATAATAGCAACAAATTTATATAGGACTTAGGAATGAATTTTACAAATATTGCACAAAAGTTTTATAACGAAATTGTGAAACATAATTAGAGGATGTAAAAGATTTAAGTAAATGTAGCATATTTGTGGATGGAAAGACTGGCTATGAAAAATGTCAATATTCATAAATAAATCACCAAAATGAATACAATAACAATAAAATCCTAACAAAAGTGTACATGGAATTTGACAGTTTAATCCTGAAATTTAAATGAAAAATAAAGGTACCAAGATTACTCAAGACAATTTTGAAGAAAAAATAGGATAATGTAGCTACTTTTCTAGTTGGTATCAAGATTCACTATAATGTCCGAGTCATTAAAACAACATGTTATTGGCTCATGAATGGAAAAAAAAGTAATAAAATGAGAATTAAATACATATTTAAATAAAATATGTAAACCTACATATATATGGAAACATATATACATAATAGTTTTGACATAAATCTGTGAGAAAGACTGAAACATTCAAGAAATTCATCTGGGGAATTATTTATCCACATAGACAAAATACTAGATTTCTACCTCATGCTATATAAAACTAAATCAGTGGTTTAAGGGCAAAGTGGACCAAAAACAATGAAGAAGAAAAAATATAGATAAATTGGTGAATTGTTTTTGACATTAATGAAGAAAATAATTTCTTTATCAAGATAGAGAAAGTATAAGACTCAGAGTAAAAGGTTAATATATTTAAATATTACATTAATATGAAAATACTCTTTACAAAAAAGAGCAAAGTTAAAAAAAAACTCAAGGAAATATTTGCAATAACCATAAATTGCAAAGGATTCAAATCCAGAATACCTAAAGACATTTTATGAGCCTATTTTTAAAAGATGATCAACCCAACAGAGGAGTGGATAAAGGATCTCAATGGGCAATTCACAGAATAGAACTCAAATGGCCAAGAAAATCATTAAATGATACATTACTCACTAATCAGGAAATTACAAATTAATAAGATTTCACATATATGTTGTCAAAATCTTTAGATCTTGGCAAAGCTGTCTAACAAAAGGAATGTCTATGCACTACCAGTGGGATTGTAAACCAGAACAACCATTTTGAAAAGCAATTTGATGATATGCAGGAAACTTGAAGATGTGCATAGCCTAAAACTCAGAAAATTCTACTCCTAGATATATAGTCTAGAAAAATTTCTGCACATGAGCACAGAAAAATGTGCACAAAATGATTTGCTACAGTATTCTTTCTCTAAAAACAGAAAACCATCTATGTATCTATCAACCAACTATGCATCTAGCAAATAGGGAAATGAATTACAAAATTAACATTTACTTAACAATTAGCAGCATGAATAGATCTCAAAAACAACATAGGAATAAGGTGCAAAGAGACCTACGATATACTATTTTTAGAACAATAATTTGCAGTACTATTCTATATATTCTGTCTATATACATATCTATGACAGAAGACTGTAAAAACATGTGAGAGAATGATAAGCACCAGACTCAGGATGATGATCATATGATTATATCTGGGGAGGGAGGAGTGAATAAAAACATATGGGTACACTGAAGATTTTAACGTTATTTTTAAATTGGACAAATGTAGTAAATAACACAAGTTGTTAAACTTGAATGATTGTATACAAGTGCTTTTAAACACATATCTAGAACTTCCTGTGGGTATAATTATTTTATAGTTTTTATATTTTAAAAATATAAGAACTATATAAATAAAAACTACACTTGTATAAAAACTATAAAATTATAAATTTTATAAACGTTTCAAGAAGATGAATCAAAAGGATAAAATGTTCTAATGTATAAATTCCAGTAACAGTTTAAAGCTGCCCTTGTGCACAACATGTTTTCCTACCCCCAAACTTGGCAGGACTATCTGCAATCAAACACACCATAGGGACTGGGCTTTTAAAAAGCAGTTCACACTATAACACCAGTGTCCTGGTATGGAAACTTAAGTCTGCCTCATTCCATACTTATCCTAGGTTCAGCACTACCCCCATTACACATCCCTCCATCTCTTTCACAACTTGCTTCAAGGAGTGATAATTTATGTGCATGCTTGATTCCATGATTTTAAGGTCAAGAACTAGATCTTGATCATCTTTGCATTCCCGCTACGTCATATGTAATTGAGTGTAATTCACAACTCAGTAAGCCTGTAAAGGCCATCACAATTTGCCTCCAATCTAACTTTACAACTGCTTCCTTCCATATTATTTACATATTCTTCACTCTAATAATACTGGGATTAACATTGTTACAGAACCTGGAATAACCCTGGTACTGGACATATCCTTGTGAAATGAATGTATTATACCCAGTATTGGGATAAATGGGAAAACATAACCCATGATTCTTGCTAAGACACATTCCACTCCCATGTAGAGGGTGCTAATAAATCCAAGTTCAATAAATAAACAACTTGAGTGGTGAAGGTAGATGACATTCATGTCTTCTGACTACCAACTATATACTTGGGATTATTCTATGTACCTTACAGAGGTTAAATCATGTTTTCCTCATAACATAAAATCATAATATGCTATACATCTGTTCTATGTATAATACATGCCACAAAAGCAATTTTCTCCAATAGTATGTAAGCTTCATGAAGATAAAAAACTACCTTTCTTGATCCTTTCTGCATGCCTGGGCCTATTAAAATATCTGGCATGGAGCAGCATACGTATGTGTGCATGTGGAATACACATATACACAAAGACAAATTGTAACTTTTGAGCTTTTTTCAAATAACTGAAGTGACTGATATTAAAAAAGATACTGGGGATGGTTGATTAGGTGGAGCACAGAGGATGTATTAGGGCAGTGAAGCCATTCTTTTTAGTACTGTAATGGTTAATACATGACAATAAGCAAAACCCATAGAGCTCTACAGCATGAAAAGTGAACTATAACGTAAGCAATTTTAAAAACAATCATTCAGAAAGTTGGCAGATGTCAGAATGAAATGCAGAATATGGCAAAGACAGCAAAATTTATTACGAATGTGTGAACCCCACTGAAGGGAGTGAGAGAGTAAGATGTTGATCTAAGTAACTTTGGAAATGAGTGGGTTATTTTAGACTAAAGGCAAAGTGAAATGTTCATAAGCACTGTATATACTCTACTGGATAAAGGTTTTTTTTGCCCAAGGGTATGGGTTAACAATTATTGAACCACTATTCATGTATACTGGAATTGAAAAATTAAATTTATGAATGGTGAATGGTGAGAGTCAGATTTCTTATGGTTAGAGTAGAAAGAAATAAGAAATAAGATAAGCAAGAAAGGAGGCTAAAATGATCAATGTGGTACTAGATTAGAGTTGGAGATATCAGTACAAACTCATGCTTAATTAATATAGCTATAGATGGTTACACATAGAAAACATCATAGATATGGGCATATACATGGGTTGATACATACACATATATCTCCTTGTTCTATTCATTGAGAGGGTACAGAAGCACTGACACACAGAAAGCAAGGAACACACCTAGTGTCCAGATATTGCTTTCTAATTGCTTTATCCAATAAAAGGAACCAGGGTTCCTTGGATAAATTGCTGATTCTAAGACTATGGCAAAAAAAGTATTCAAGATGAGCCCAAAGCCAGAAAAATAAGAAAGTACTCACACGCAAAAATGACAGTGGTAAGCCAAAGAGATACAAGAACCAACTGAAAAAGCTCCCAATGGCCAAACCTGGAACAATTTGAGCAATAAAATAAATAAATTATCATCCAAAATATAAACAATACCATTAGTCCATACTGATATAACAAATAGTTGAACCAATAAATAAATGCAGGTGTATAGACAAATTTCTCATGCAGAAGAATTCCAAATAATGTTTGTAGATACTCTGCTGTCAAGGAGGGGGAGCATAGCTCCCCACTGCTTTTAGTGTGGGTTGCATGTACTGGCTTTCTTCCAAAGCATGTAATATGAAAAGGAATAAATTAAAAAGTAACTTTGCAGTGTAGATACCTAACAAACACCATCTCAGCCAGGTAATCAAGGTCAATGTAAACAGAGATAAGTCATGTAGATGGAATATACCCTTGATATGATGTGATGAGAATGGCCCCTAATCTTTGTGGTCTTCGTCACTAAGAACTCATAATCCCAGTCTAATAATGAGATAAATATCAAACAAATCCAAATTGAGAAACATTCTACAAAATAACTGGCCAGTCCAGTATTCCTCAAAACTGTCAAGATGATAAAAAACAAAGAATGTCTAAGAAATTGTCACAACATAGAAGCTCCATGAAGCTGTGACAACTAAATGTAACACAGTACCCTGGGTGGGATCCTGAACAGAAAAATCACATTACAGGAAAAATCTAGAAAAATGTGAATAAAGTATGAACTTTAGATGCAAATAATATACCAATATTGGCTCATTAATTGTAACAAGCCTACTATACAAATGTATGATGTTAATAATAGAGGAAAGCAGGTGTGGGGTCTACAGGAGCTCTCTGTACTATCTTCACAATAATTCTGTAAACTTAAAACTATTCTAAATTTAAAAGCTTGTATTTTTTTAAGAAAAAGAGATTGGAAGATAAGTTTCAGAGATAATAGTTGCATGCAAAATCAGGATATGGGAGCCAAAACCACAATATATTATTATTATTAAAAACAAGAAATTAAGAGGCAAGTTTCAAATTCAACTTTTATTTTAGGTTCAGGGAGTACATGTGCAGGTTTGTTTCATGGGTAAATTACATGTTCCTGAGGTTCAGTGTATGAATGATCCTGTCATTTAGGTAGTGAGCATAGTAACCGACAGGTAGGTTTTCTACCCTCGCCCCCCGCCCCCAACCCCACTAGTAGTCCCAAGTTTCTCTGTTCCATCTTTATGTCCAAGTATAATCTTATATGCTTATTTCTTTTGGAAATTGATCATTTCCATATCTGATGGTTCCCTTGGGACATAATCAGTACCAGAATCTTTAATTGATAATAAATAACTGACTTCAGTAAGTTCCCTAAACTCACTGTCTCCTATTCCTTTTCTATAAAGTAAGTATAATAGTACTACAGACTAAAGAATGCTGTCCTAAATTAAATGAGATGGTACATTTAGTGCACTCCCATGGTGCCTGGCACATAGTAAGCCCTCAATAATTTTATTAGTATTCCCCCAAGCACCAATGATATAAATTGTGATTATTGTTATTATTCAGGAGTGAGCATTTTGGAGATAATATACATTCTGTAGTAAACTATTTCCCCTCTTCACTATTTCACAATCTTCTGTGAAATCCTACCTGCTCCTATTTTGTTTCTGAGACCCAAGAACCTCTGAATTTTTCTCTTTTTATTTAGTGTTACTTCCCAAAGCACATTCATTTTTTCCTCATTTATCCCTTTATTTTCCCAATATTAAGGTCATTTTGATTACTCTATTTTTTTTAAATGGTGTCACCAATATTCCAGGCTTGAAACCTCAAACTAATCTTTTAATCTTCTATCTTCTTACTCAATCCAGTTAGCCATCATCCCCTGCCAAAAATTGTCCTTTAAATCTCTCTCACATCTATCTCTCTCACATCTGTCCTTTTTGTTTCTATTTCATCACAAGCTTTAGGGTTTTTAAAACTCATTCCTTGCTAGCTGTTATTATATCCTATCTGACTTTCTTGTTTTCCATGTCTCCTCATACTGGACTCTTTCCCCTTCACACAACAATATGTAAATATTTTATTGAATCAGCTGGACTCAGCAGGATAAAAGCAGAAAACAGCTTTATTCTTTCTTCCATTCAACTTCAAACAAGCTCATGAACTAATTCCTTGGCTACATCTGCCACAAGTTTCAGGCAGATCCTCTCAATTGTCTAGGCCCTTTTGATCACAAACAATCTCAATATAGTCCACCACAATTTACACACCTTCACTTTCCTTGTTTTATCCCCATGTCCCAGATAGGGAACTCATAAAGCTTGTGCCTGCAATAAGGGTGAGAGCTTTTTTGCTCCTCTATTCCTCATTCTCCTTCTTCCCCAGTCCTGGCTATTCTGACTGATAACTTGAGGCACAGTACTGGGAGAAAAGGTAATTAGAGATAAACAAAGCATGTCACAGGGCTGATAGAAGAGTTCCTATTTCTGGATATAATGAATGCACAAGTACTGTTTTGTTTCAACTCACTTCTCCTTTGAAAAGCACTTTTGTGTTTTGTTT